>NC_000022.11:32800473-32951988 GCF_000001405.40 Homo sapiens
GCTTGCTTTTCCTACCCACAAAGATTATTGTGAGAGCTATAATACGGTGAGATACAGAATCCTGCTTTTAAAAATACAAAGCAGAATCAAGATGTCAATAATAAGGATAGTAATTGTGTTAGTTATCTGCAATCATCTATTATAGCTAGTCGTCTAGGATCCTGGATCGTTCTCCTGGTTTTACTACAGTTTTGGATCAGCTCACCCCCAAATCCCTTGCTGAAGGGTGGAGCTCTGTCAGCCATGGGCAGGGAACCACTTCCTCTTGCCTTTCTACTTTCTGTCTTTCAAACATGCCCAGGGTCTTTGCACTTGCTGTTCCCCCTGCCTGGTACCTCTCTCCTGTGGCTTGCCCCAGAGCTGATCCTTGTCTTTGTCCACTTCTCAGCGAGGATGGCACTTCAGGGAGCCCTTCCCTTACTATCGCAGAGAGAGCAGGCCCTCCCCAGTCATGTCCAACCCAGAACTCTGTTTTGTTTTCTTCATAGCCCTAGCATCACAGAAAATCACCCTGTGCATTCATGGATGTCCACGGGGGCAAGGGCTTTGTGTTGCTTAACCCAGCATCCTGAACCGTGTTTGTTGAATGAATACAGAACCCCGTTTGCTCTGGGAGAGCACAGAAAACAGTCTTCTATCATATATCATAGCCAGCTGCAAACAGCAGATGGCTTCCCATATCCCAGAGAGTAAGAACCAGAGAGAGAGAGAAAGAGAGAGAGTTTGGGTCTTTCTCCTCTGTGCCTGCTCTCTCCAGAGAAACTGGAGGGGTAGCAGTTAGCATTCCCCCGCTGGTTCCACCAAGCACAGTCAAGGTCTCTAGGACATGGCCACCCCTCACCTGTGGAAGCGGTCCTGCTGGGGTGGGTGGGTGTTAGTTGGTTCTGGTTTGGGTCAGAGACACCCAGTGGCCCAGGTGGGCGTGGGGCCAGGGCGCAGACGAGAAGGGGCACGAGGGCTCCGCTCCGAGGACCCAGCGGCAAGCACCGGTCCCGGGCGCGCCCCAGCCCACCCACTCGCGTGCCCACGGCGGCATTATTCCCTATAAGGATCTGAACGATCCGGGGGCGGCCCCGCCCCGTTACCCCTTGCCCCCGGCCCCGCCCCCTTTTTGGAGGGCCGATGAGGTAATGCGGCTCTGCCATTGGTCTGAGGGGGCGGGCCCCAACAGCCCGAGGCGGGGTCCCCGGGGGCCCAGCGCTATATCACTCGGCCGCCCAGGCAGCGGCGCAGAGCGGGCAGCAGGCAGGCGGCGGGCGCTCAGACGGCTTCTCCTCCTCCTCTTGCTCCTCCAGCTCCTGCTCCTTCGCCGGGAGGCCGCCCGCCGAGTCCTGCGCCAGCGCCGAGGCAGCCTCGCTGCGCCCCATCCCGTCCCGCCGGGCACTCGGAGGGCAGCGCGCCGGAGGCCAAGGTTGCCCCGCACGGCCCGGCGGGCGAGCGAGCTCGGGCTGCAGCAGCCCCGCCGGCGGCGCGCACGGCAACTTTGGAGAGGCGAGCAGCAGCCCCGGCAGCGGCGGCAGCAGCGGCAATGACCCCTTGGCTCGGGCTCATCGTGCTCCTGGGCAGCTGGAGCCTGGGGGACTGGGGCGCCGAGGCGTGCACATGCTCGCCCAGCCACCCCCAGGACGCCTTCTGCAACTCCGACATCGGTAAGCGCTCCTGGTGCCCCGCCCGAGCCCCACGCTGCAGCCAGGACTGCAGCGCTGCTTAGGGAGGCAGGGCGAGCCCCACTCCTTTCCTCTGCCCCAGGAGAGGGGCAGACGGGGTTGGGGCGGAGTGGAGAAACTCGATGTCCTTGGGCGGGGGCGCTGGCATAGCTGAGAGGGGAAGATGCCCTGCAGAGGAAACTCACAGTGGCTGAGGGAGCCCCTGGCCGCCTTTGCTTTCCTAACTTAGGTCGTGAGGTTCCTACCGGTCCTTTTGACATCTGGAAAATGTCCCCATTCACTACTAACGGAGGAAGGGCTAGAAGAGAAGGGTGGGGAAAGGGTTCCCAAAACTTGGAATGCTAACTAAAGTGCTGGGAAATTGAATAGTTAAAAAAAAAAAAAAAAGTTGCCCGCCATGTGCACGGAAAGTTGCAGGAGAAACTTGGAGTACTCCGAGTCTGCATCATCTCCTGCGCCTATGAAATTCATTCTTTTCACTGAGACCCAACCCAGCTGCAGGCTTCCCAGGCAAGCGCTAACCGAGCTTCTGGGACTGCCAAGTTTGGGTGGATTTAAGGGGGAAAATGAGGAGAAAGCTGTGGCATTGACCCACGCCCTGGAGGCACTGTGTTTGAGAGTGTTGATAGCCAGCAGAAGGTGCGAGGGGTCACTCACCACATAGCTGTGAAAATTCACAGGAAGGCTATTTTTTTCCCCCTTGAATGTGTGTGGGGAGGGGGAGAATGGGTAGTGGAAAACAGATTTGTCACCAAAAGAACAAACCTGCCAAGGGTCACATCACGGTGACAGTTCCAGACTGGACTTAGTGTCTTGAGTAGAGAGACCCTGTAAAGAGACCTCCTACTCCTTAGTGTGTATGGAGGGCCCCGAGAGCATCCTGGGAGGCTTGTCTGGGAGTGTTTGGGACACTTGTGTTTGGATGGCTAAAGGTGGAGTGGCATCTGGGAAACATCTCTCTCCTCCTTTCCAGCCCATAAAGCGTGCAAGTCCAGTGGCTCTGCTGGGAGAGTGTGTGTGTGTGCACTGGGCTGGGCTGGGCGGTGGGGTGGGACAGCCTTGCCGCCCTCTGCCTGTGTCGATTCAGAGGTGAAGAATGGAGCGTGTGTGTTTTAAGTACAGTCATAAAGGAGAAGGAAATTTTCCACTGAGTCTTGGGTGAGGGACTCTACCAGCGTGTTGTGGTGAGGAGGGGGAGGAGGTAGGAGCTTGGCAGGGGAGGCAGTGAGGGCCGGGAGGGGCACTGCTGGTGGGCTGGGCTGAGCCTAGAGGTCAGAGTGGGGGTGTGGTGACCAGAATGTCAGTGCAGTTGGCAGCTGAGGGTGTTTGTGTGACCTGAGGTCACCCTTGTAAGAGGCTCCCTGGGGCCTGCATGGTACATCCTCCCCTCTCCTGGGGGAACCCAGCTGGCCCAGGATTTGTGGATTGCTTAGAAAGATCCTTTTGGGCAGCCTGAAGACTGGGGAGGGTTTTCCTCCCTCCTCCACCTCCACCCACATTCCACTTACCCTTTCCCTCCTCATCCCAGTTGGTAACATTCCCACCTGATTAGTGTGGGGAGTTGCTGCTGCAGCTGAGTTCTGGTTTTGCCCAGCAGGATCACACACGTGCGGCCAGGAGGCTGGCAGGTGGAATCAGGGTGTGCAGGGGTGCAGCCCAAGTCCTTTTCTGCTGGAAAATGGGCTGGGTGACTTCACTTGCGTTTTTTTGGTATGTAGTGGGAGTAGGTCCCCATTCTTCCCCCTTGCCCTTTGCTTTGGGGTTTCTACCCTAAAAATTGACCACGGAAAAGTGAAAACAAGCATGAGTAGATCCTGCTTCCAATGGGGGCCTTCCCGTCTGCTTACTGCTTAGGTTTCCTGCGGTGGGTCTGAGCAATGCAGAAAGTTTCTTACAATTTCTCTGGATTGAAACAAGAAATAGCTCCCTCGCTCCTCTTCATAAATTTCTCAGAGAAAATCTAAGTTACCAGGAAGTAGCCAAAGACCAGGAGATTGTGGAATCAAAAAGAAAAAAAGAAACAAAAAATCTTCGATGCTCTGGCACGGATCCCAAATTGTTCTGCCTGGGTTTGGTGAGCTGCACTAGTGGCAGGGATGAGCTAATGCTTTTAAAATGGGAGGTGTGGGTGTGAGCTGCTTGCCTGCCGACCTCCCTCGCCTTGCACAGCACCCTGCTGGCGTCCAGTACTTGGCTCCCAAGTTTCATTGCTCAGAGCCTTTCTGGTTTCCAGTCTGGGTTGAAACTGTCTATTCTCGCCCTCAAACAAATATGAAGGAGCTCCCCATTCCTTGGGACCCACACAACCCCACCAGTCAACTTTGTAGCCCCCTAAAGGTGTTCACATCAGCCCATCAACTTCCTGTTTTAAAACCATCATGGTGGTTTTCTCTTCATGGCTTGGTGCCATGTTGGCCTAGCAAAAGGCACAGGAGGCCTGGCCTGGTCCTCTCCGGGGGGCTGCCCGATGGCCTTTCCTCCTGTCTCTGCTCATCCACAGGTGTCTCTTTTTGTCTTTTTTCCCCAAAGTCCTAGGGCCTGGCATGGCATTCTGGGGGAGGAGGAGTTAAAAGGTGTTTCTATGGCAACTCCAGGCCCTGCACCCTATGGAAGTGTTTAGGAGAAGAATAAACTACATGCCGGCTTATAAGACACACTGTGGGGGAAAGAAAGGGACTTGGCAGCAGGCAGGATGTCTGTGGTCCCCCTCCCTGGCCAGTCATTGCCCCTGAAACTCCTGACAAAACCTTGACTCTAGAAGAGGAATGGGAGGGGGCTGGAGATGAAGAAGGCGGCCTCGGCCCGGGCAAATCTGCCCTGGCAGCTCTGTCCAGCTCAGGAAGGGGTGGGCTGTGCCAAGGGCTTTCTGAAAATGTGCGTGTGTGCGTGTGTGTGTGTGTGCGCGTGTGTGGCTTCTGCAAAGGTGGCTGGCAGGGCTGAGGGGGGTTGCAGCAGAGAAAGAGAATTTTGCTTCAGAATGCCAAGCCCTTCTCTCCTTCTCTCTTGCCGCCTTTGCATGGGAGGAATGGGGCTGTAGGATGAAGTGTGTTCGGGGCCTGCCTCTGAGCCTGTTGGGAATTTGAGCATGAGGCTCAGCTGGGGGGCCGGCTGCCAGCCCCAGAGGATGGCCCCTGGATAGCTCCAAATTGTTCTGACAGGGGCCAGTGCCAGCAGATTCTTTCAGTATCAGATCTGAGGTTGTCGTTTTAGCAAAGAAGCCATTTTCAAAGAAACCAGATCCATCCCCTCTCCCTCTTACACACAATTACACCTCAACACTGGGCTTTGCAACTTAAGGAAAATAGAAAGAATCAGACTTTGGAGAGGCGCCAGCACTTGGTAGGGCAAGTCTGGGGGACCCAGGCTGTGGATGTCTTGGAACCATGGAAGGAGGAGAGCTGCTATCCAGCTGGAGGAGGGAAGAGACATGTCTTAGGCCCCTCCTGGTTGCACGCACTTCCCAAATGCCATCTCTTTCACCCCCTCCCCCGACCCCCCACAGCAACCTTAAGAGTAGGTATTGCACCCATTTTTCAGATGGAAAACACTGAGGCTGAAGAGACTGTGCTTGTCCAAGGCCACCCAGTTGCTAAATGATAAAGCTAAAACGTATTATCAGTTATACCATGCTTCAAAAACCTTTCAACTTTCATTGACACATGACATTCTAAGGTGACCAGGAGATGGAATGGATGGTTAACATTTGAAGAATGCTTTTCTTCTACATCTGGGTTTTCTTTAAAAATATGAAGATAGCCAAAATGGCCAGAGGTTTTAATTAAACATCATCTTTAGGGAGGGAGAGCTTATTATTATTCTAGTGTATCATAGAGGAAAATTCTAATGTTCTTTGGCTATTAGATCTGGAAAAGACCCTTGAAACCATCAAGCCACAGTAATAAAAGGACTTGGTTTGTCTCACTGTGGCCCAAGGAGAAGTAAGGTTAATAGAGACAAGACATTTCAGGGCTTCAAGACTCTTCCCTTAAAGGTGGGATCAGTTAGGGCTCCCCAGTGGGAGGTACCCGGTCTGCCAGTGTGGTAGGAGGAAAGCCAGGGGGAGTCAGGAGACTGGGTCCCAGCTGGAGAAGGTGCCCCTCTGACAGTTCTGTGTCCCTTTCACAGTCCCTGGATAGATAAGGCTAGAAAAGTGGCCACAGAAGTAGCTTGGGTGGAGGGATTTTTGTTTGTTTTGCATGAACAGCAGGAACCATTCAGCTCCACTGCTGAATGGCACATTCCAACAGGTTCATTAATTAAAAACAAAAACAACAACACGATTCTCCATCGCACTTGGCTTTTACCATTCCAGCCAGTATGGACAAGGAGGCCCCTTCTTCTACCTTTTGTCATAGTCTACTCCTGGGTGGCCTTGAGAGGCAGGGTGGAGTGGTGGAAAGGCAATGGGGAGGGCAGATCTGAGCTCCACTCCTTCCTCTGGGGCTTGTTGGCTGTGTGTGCCTAGGCACATATGGGCTACCTTTGAGCTTTAGTTTTCTTATTTATACAAGGGGAATAACAATTTGTACCATCTTGGCCTGTTTTATCTATATTTTAAAAGCTACAAGTATATGAATACATTCTATGTCCATGTATGTATCTCTCTGTATATCTATGATATATCCATTTCTATTTATCATTTATCATCTATCTATCTATCTCTCTATCTAAAATCGGAGAAGAGTAAAATCCTTTCTGATTACTTTTTCTAACTCTAGTCCCTTCTCCAAATCCTTTTCTTCCTATACATTTACATACATAGGTATCCATAGCAAATTTATAGTAGTTTTTCCCTTAGAAACATGAATAGTAGAACATTAAACATCATGGAATACCACATAATACCACATATAGTATTCTGCTTGTTTCCCATTCAACAATGCGTACTAGAGATCTTTCTACTTAATATATATATAAAACTGTCAGAGGAGCACCTTCTCCAGCTGGGACCCAGTCTCCTGACTGCCCCCCTGGCTTTCCTCCCACCACATTGGCAGACTGGGTAGCTCCCCCTGGGGACCCCTAACTCATCCCCACCTTTAAGGGAAGAGTCTTGGAACCTTGAAATGTCTTGTCTCTATTAACTTTACTTCTCCCTGGCCACAGTGAGACAAACCAAGTCCTTTTATTACTGTGGATTGATGGTTTGGAGGATATATATATATAAATATATAATATATAAATATATAATTTATATATAATATATAAATATATAATATATAATATATATTATATATAATATATATTATATATAATATATATATATTATATTTACATATATATTATATATATAATATATATATTTCTTTTATGTATTTCATGAGGTTATAATTTTAAACAGCTAATAAGTATAGAGTGATTACTATGTGCCAGGCATTATTCTAAGTCATTAACTTACATTAACTCATTTAATTCTCTCAGTTTTATGAGGGAGGTGTGCTATTGTCATCTCCATTTTACAGCTGAGGAAACTGAGGCTTAGAAAAATGAGGTAACTCGTTTAAGGTTATACTGCTAGCAAGGAATACAGCCTGTATTTAAGCCCCTTCACCCTGGCTCTAAAATATATTTAACAACTATACTATAGGTCACATTATACCATATCATATTATATATACTACTACATACTCTTATATTATTATAATTATATAATATGCATTTTCAATTTTAATAGTTCCTGCCAATTTGGCCTCCACAGTGGCTGTGTTAACACAGTTCTTTTCATATATGCAACATGAGGGGATGGAGGAATGTTAGAGCCCTGTGCTTAAGAGACTCCCATGCTTCTCTCAAATAGAAAAACAATTTATAATTTTTATTGACTTACTGAGTGTTTTTTTTCCTTCTTTTTGTCTCTTTGAAAGGGAGCAAAATTAGGGCCACGAAGATCAAGTTAATGGGAGTATTTTCATAGGGAGAGGAAGGCTGCAATGCCAGGAAAGCTGTGACCCTTGACTTGTTGCATGCTGGAGTAATTCGGTTGAAGATAGCTTTATGTATTTATTTTGCTTTCAGAATAAGCAGTGGACCATTTATTACACCAAGTTGTTTGACTTTGAGGACTTACATGGACTCAGGTTCAAAGGTATATGTGGCTGTGTTTTGAACACACATACACAGGGTTTTGCTTTCTGACTCAAAGCTGTCCGCTGGCCAGGCTCATGGTGGCAGCAAGGGCACTCACTCATCTGTCTCCCTTCTTGTTGCCTATGGATGGCACTTGGGTGAGAGCAGTGGGATGGTCACAAGGAGGAGGATGGACTGCCGAGAGGGAGGCTGGGTGGACCCCAGCCAAGAAGGACGCTGGGGTCTCATTATTATGGGAGCTAGAAGGCCTGGTTTAGGAAAGAATTCCTGTTCTGATGAAAGCTCTTCAGTGGACTCTTAGGATAAAGTATCATCAAATGGCTTTTACAAGGGCCAGTGTGGACCCTGCCTACCTCATCCTCATAGTCTCATCACTGGTCTGTCCTGCTCCAGCTGTTCATACTCTGTCTCTCTGGCTCTTGGCCCATGACACCCCCTCGGTTTTGAACAGTCCTCATTAACTTCTCATTCTCTAGGTCTCCTTTGGTTCCTTTCCCTGATCACTCCTTGGCATTGGTACAGACGAACAGTCATAAACCTTGCCCATATTTTAAGCATGCTGAAAAACACCATCTCTAGTAAAACCCAAATTCTCCAAAGCTGCATGGGAAACTCCCAGAGGGGATCATTCCTGCGCTGGGAGAAAGAACTTAGGGCTGCGTGCCACCCAGAGGGATAAACCTAACCCACTTTAGAGGGTAAGCACCCACTATGCTCTCTGCATTACTTGATAAGTCTAGTCCTGTCTTCTGGTGGACATGATACCCTAGCACCCTCCCAGAGAAGAAAGTGGAGATTTCTAAATGCCAACCCTGCAGGAGATCACAAACATAATACTGTAATTTTCATAGTAAGTTTGGTGCCCTTACTATGTGCCAGGCACTGTACCAAGCTCCTTACTTGCCTATCAGTCATCCCAGCTGCCTGATGAGCTGTCTCAGGCTAGGGAAGCCAAATGGCTTGCCCAAGCTCACACCACTTGCAACCTATACTTGCTTAGCCTATCTCCAAAACCTGTGTTTCCAATCAGTCTCTCATATAGACCAAGGGCTACAACTTTTTAGACTTGGGAAGATTCTACCCATTTTGCGACCTCTCCACATGAGTCTTTGGCTCCCCACTGTTGGGGTCCCCGTCAGTCTGCTTATCTTTGGTTTTCTTCCTCTCCAGACATGCCTTCCCTGCTGCCCCCAAATTTTATTACTGTATAGTCAGTTCTGGGATCCTAACATAACCAAGCCTTACCTCCTAACCCAGTGCCCTTTCAACTCTCTCAGTGGTTCCCAGACTTTTCAACACTATGGAATTTTTTAAAATTAATTTTTCCCTCCAATAAGTTCTGTGTTTGGAACAGTTATCCGACACAATTTCATGTGTTGAGTGTTGATTAACTTTCCATTAAAAAACAAATTAAAATATAACTAGAACTGCTGATACTAGCCAGTCATTATTCTGACACAATCAGCTAATATACTAATTAATTATAGCCGAAAGCAAGGACGGTTGGTGTTTTCATAAGCCTGGGAAGTTTTCTCATGGGTTCCTGGGTGATTGCATTGTCGGATTTGGGTTGGCTTACTGATATGCCTAAAATAGCTCCTGGCTTCTTTGGTATATCGCTGTCCTTTGCCCCTCCTGAGAATCTTTAGTTTCATGCCAGCTTAGCATCTCTTCTCCCTGTGGGCAGGTCCCATGCATTTACTGCCATTGTCACTTCTCCCTGTTACCCACAGTGCTGCCACCATGCCTGGGATAGACAGCAGGTAACTGATGTGTCCTAGTTGAGGTCCCTATCCTTTCAGAGGAGGTGACATGGGTTCAGATATTTTCCTATGTTCATGTCTGGCATCCAGGGGTACACAAAGTATTGATTCTAGCTAAAGGGACTTACTAAATACTGTTTGACAGGAGGCCCACAGGTGTCTATGTGGGCTGCAGTGGAACTAAGAGGTCTTTTTGTTCAGCTGTTAAAAAATTAGTGTTTGTAGCTTCAGAGGGGCCCCAGAGAACCTTTCCTGACCCATTTAGAGGCCATCTGTGTGGCTAGGATGGCTTTGCTGTCACAGAAGGGACAGTCCACACTACCCAACACTCAAGTCTGATTTATGTTCATGTAAATCCGATCACCTAATGGTGGCATTCACGGCTTGGAGACAAGAAACTATAAGTGTTTCCAAGCCTGCAGCCACCTGGCTTTTTGTGGGGGTGGGGAAGGGAAGGAAAGCTGTACGATCTGGCCTCAGAGAGCCCAAGGTAAAGTTCAGTTAGTGGAAAAACAGAGCCCTAGATGATTGGGCGGGGGGTGGGTACTGGGGAGTGGAGAGGGGAAGTCCTGAGCTGACCAAGCCTCCAAGAGCCATTCCGGAACTAGAGATCTTAAATACTACATGGTAATTATCCCCTCTGCCTCTGCCCATGAGGGTGTCAGGCACAGGGCCGCCTGGCTGCCTGCAGAGAAGAGCTGTTTCATTCAGAAACTTCAGAGCTCCTGCAATGCCTGGATTAGGATGTGGGGATGGTGAGTTTCGCAACCAGGGTCAGATTTCATGAAGACTTGGTTTCGTGACTTGAGGTGTTTGACTAAGGTGTTTGCATCTCATGTATTTAGGAAGGGCTCCCTTTTGACTTAGACTTTATCATCATGAATAAGCTCCCTGCCTTTTCGATTTGGAAACATGATAGCTCTAGTGAGCTCTGCTACTCCCAAGCTTGGGCAGGTTCTTTGCCTCAGTTTCCTCATCTCTAAAATGGGGGGAAATATATTATGTACCACGTGGTAACTTCATTGGCAATTAAGTGAAATACTTCATGGAATGTTTAGCACTAAATATTCCTTAGTGTTGAAAAGGCTGGGAACCACTGAGACAGTTGAAAGGGCACTGGGTTAGGAGGTAAGGCTTGGTTATGTTAGGATCCCAGAACTGACTATACGGTAATAAAATTTGGGGGCAGCAGGGAAGGCATGTCTGGAGAGGAAGAAAATCAAAGATAAGCAGACTGAGGGGGGCCCCAAAAGTGGGGAGCCAAAGACTCAGGTGGAGAGGTCGCAAAATGGGTAGAATCTTCCCAAGTCTAAAAAGTTGTAGCCCTTAGTCTATACAAGAGACTGATTCTTGGCACAGAATAGCTCAATAAGAATAAGCATGAGCTTTTAGTAGTAGTGTTGTTATAGAGCAGAGCTGATATTCTCACTTCACTTTCGGTGAGGAAAATGGCGCTCTGTGGTGTGATGTGATGTTTTCCAGGGTCATATAGAGAGAGCTGAGTTTCAATTCAAAATCGTGGTTTGATCCCCCCGCCTCCAAATCTAATGTGTTCCATTTTGTCACAGTGCTTCCCACAGGGCAGAGAAAGAAACAACAAAGTTCCTACTCTATTTTCACAACTCTTCACATTTTAGAGTCTTAAGTCCATTTGATCTCATTTGATGACAACTTCGCAACGAGGAAAGCAGGATGGTGATTGGGGGGTCGGTCATAGTTCCTAGTTAGTGGATGTCAGTATTGAGAATGGCGGGGTTCTGTGGCTTAGCCATATAGCCAATACATGGAATGGGATTGGAACCCATGTCTTCTGAGGGCAAGCCCAACACTTGTCAAGGATCTGGTGCTGCCCTTCCCTCTTTAGACAGCTCCCATTGATAAGCAGAGGTAGAAGTCACTAGGGTAGCCAAAGAGAGGGCCCTAGAAATGGAATGGTGACAATGAACTTGGCTGAAGAGTCAGCAACCGCTCCCCTATCCACTGCCAGGGCTAGGAGGTGCAGTGTGGCATGGAGGAGGAGCACTGGCTGGAGTTAGGAGGCCTAAGGTCTAGTCCTAGTTCATCATCTGACTCTGGAGTCCCCTTGGTGATACTGACCTCCCTGGGTTTGGTCTCTTATCTGTAAAACAGCAGGATATTGGCTCTATGTGGTGTGTATTTCACTGAATGCCTACTATGGTCAAGTTTTTCTGGCTCTAAGTTCCCTTGGAAAGGGCTCTCTACTTTAGCTGAATAACTCAGCACCTAAATCTGTCAACCACACCCTTCAGTAGGTAACTTTGTTAGAAATATGGTCTATTAAGGTAAGAGCCAGGATTTCTGTGGTTGCAAAAGTGGATGCGGGCTCTGAACAAAACCTCTAGTGAGCTGAGATACTTTATCAGATGACATATTTGACCACCAAACTTCTGTTGGAGCAGGGCTGATTTGCCAAACAGACAGCAACCTTGCAGACTTAGTCGATGGCTAGAATTAAGACTCAAGGTCACTTCAGGGCCTGTCACTGATTGTGGGAGGGCTTGGTAAAAATTGAACCTCATTAACACCACTGAAGAAGCTGATAGACAAGAAATGGGATTAAGACTCAATACTCATCAAAATAAGGCTTTCCTTATCCACAGCCTACCTGAGCAGTGCCTCACTCTGGAAAATGTGGTTCATGGCTCGGCTCAAACATTTTCTGTTGCTGAGAGGACTTCTCTCATGGAAGTCTGGCTCAGATGAACACATGTGTGATCTGATGGAACCTTTGTTTAAGTGAATGAGGAGGGTATTTGGAAGACTTAGATCAAACGTGTGCCCCATTGGGCAGTCACTATCTGCTCCCCTGACAGGGAGAAACCCCAGTGACAGGATAGAAAGCTCCAAAGATCCTGAGGAAGTTTGGAAGGTCAAACTTCACCACTGCAAGGACTGAGAGATCCAAGAATCTCAGAATCCAGGTTGGTCTCCAGGGTGCAGTTCTGAACAAATGAGTGCAGTGGATAAAAAGCTTATACTTAAGGTGGGAAGGTGGGTGTGGGTTCCAGTTCCTTCTTTGGCTGATTCTCTTTTGGCCTGGATTTCCTCACTTGTCATCCATGCCATGTCACAAACCCAGTGCCTACAGGGACCAGGCACAGAAGCTGGATATTTGAGTATCAGACATATTGGAATATTACTCACTCCTACCAAATATGTTTATGGTTCCCCATTCTCTTGGTTTCCATTTTGGAGAGCTAAACAGGTACTAAAAATGATTTCTTTATTATAAGACAAGCAATAAAACAGTGGGCAAGTGTGATGATAAACAGCATCTGAGCTTTGGCTTTGGAGTTGGGGAGACAATAGAGAGTGGCAGTAACTGTGGTGAACCGTACAGTCCAGGTCCCTTCTGGAGGGGACAGCTGCTGTCCAGCTCCAGCCTATCAGGATGTGAGTCTAGTGATGCCAGATTTCCAGTCTCTTAGGACAAGCAAGAAATCCAAATTTTTAATGTAACATCTTCTGAAAAGATACACACACACACACACACACACACACACACACACACACACACACACACACGTGGACCAAACAAAACATGTCCATGGGCCAGATTCAGCCTTGTGGGTCACCAGTTTTGTGATCTGGAATCCATTTTATTTCTAGAATCTCCTTTCAATTCTCGGATCTCTGAGTGAGTAACACCCAATTTTTTTTTTTTTGGCAAAATGTGTCCTGCATTTCCCACACTTTCTGAGCTGGAGCACAGGTTCTGGAGTTAGACCACTTGGCTCAAACCTTGGCCTCGTTCATGGCTAGTTGCCTGTCCCTGGACAAGTTAATTCCCTGGTCTCATTTTTCCTATCTGTAAAATGGAGTATGCAATAATAGTACTCTTAACCTCATAGGTTGTGGAAGAATTCACAGACACAATGGAAATAAAAGGCCTGGCTCATTGCCTGGCATGTAGTAAGGACCTGATAAATGTCAGCCATCATATTATTACTACATGGTATTACTGCCTCCCCTTAGATGGGAGCCAAGTCTTGCTCACCAGCTCATTGCCTGATGTTAGTAGGCATTCAATAAAAGTATCATGAATGAATAAGAACATTTGAGAAAGACAGCATTCCAGCCTTTCCAGGCAATACTCGTGTGTGTGTGTGTGTGTGTGTGTGTGTGTGTGTGAGAGAGAGAGAGAGAGAGAGAGAGAAAGAGAAAGAAAGAAAAGAAAGAAAGAAAGAAAGAAAGAAAACAAAGAAAGGAAAGAAAGAAAAAAAAAGAAAGAAAGAAGGAAAGAAAGAAAGAGGGAGGGAGGGAGAGAGGGAGAGAGGGAAGGAAGGAAGGAGAGAGAGAGAGAGACAGAAAGAAAGAAAGAAAGAAAGAGAAAGAAAGAGAGAAAGAAAGAAAGAAAGAAAGAGATTGGTTTGAAACATTGGGAGCTGAGCTTAATGAGAAAAGGCCATTCCTAACTGCTAAGCTACCGTATTAAACAGTGGCAAGTACCTTGGAAAATAAAACAGAAACCACTGCCCATCTTTTTCTAACGGAGAAAGACAAGAGATGGCTTGACCAGAGTGGAGATTTAGAACTTCAGGTGCTGATAAATATGGTAACATCATGGGGTGCTTTGGCAGCTGGATAGATTTTATTTATTCAGGGCTCCTTTAAGCCAGAGGAGATTCCTGGAGGCTGCTAAAATAGAATGCTCCACCTGGATAGTTAACATCTGGATTTTATTTTGTTTCAAAAAGTTAATTACAAATAGTTCGAATTCCTTCTGGTATCCCTCTGAGAAGAGTTTCTTACTGGGTGGCTCACAAGCGGGGAGACAGAAAGGGAAAAAAACTAGATTGATATTGCTCAGGAGAAACAGGATTGTGGCTACACGTGAGCCATGTATGCAATTTTGAATTTTCCCATAGTCATGTTTAAAAAAACGAGGAAAAAGTGAAATTAATTTTAATACTAAACCCAATATGTATAAAATATGACCATTTCAATATGTAATCAATTTTACACTTATTAATAAGATCTTAATATTTTTAAAATTAAGTTTTTGACATCCATTATGTATTTTACACTCATAGCATATCTCAGTTTGGACTAGTTGCGTTTCAGCTACCTGTGGTTAGTGGCCGCCATGTTAATACTACAGCACAGGTCAAGATAACATTTGCAAAGGCAAGGCATCTTCCCCTCCCCATTTCTAGTTTCATGAACTGTGCACAGGGATATGGGGCTGTTCGAGGTACTTTTGGGCTGACCAAGGCTCAGAGGCTACTGACAGCTTTGCTGCAAGTAACTTCTAGGCCTTGTGGGTCCCAGTGCAGGGAACCCATGTGCGGTGACACTGGAGAAGCCATCTGATCCAGGTCTCTCACTTGACAGATGGGGAAACTGAGGTCCAAAGAGGTACAGCAGCTTGGTTTAAGAGATAGAGATGGAACTGGAACAAAAATAATAACCATTTGATAATATTTTAACATTTATTGATTTGTTTTTATATGCCAAGACCTTTTAAAGCATTATCTCCTTTAAACTCTCATAACCACTCATTGAGGTAGGCACTCCTATTTCTACTTTGCAGATGAAAAAAATTGGGACTTAAGAGGAATTAAATATGAAAGCAGCTACTATTTGTTGACAGCTATTTTAAGATCTTTATATACATATATACATGTAATAAATTCTATTCTTTACTATAAACATACATGTCAGAAATTATTAGTGTTATCATCCTTGTCCTCCTCATTCCACTTTGCAGATGAAAATACTGAAGCTGAGAGAGACTAGGTAACTTACCTAGTATGTACCTACATAGTGAAGCCAGATTTGAGCCGGACCTCCTGACTCCAGAGTCCGAGCAATCTCACCAATTCTGCCCACG
Organism: Homo sapiens; assembly: GCF_000001405.40. Classification (NCBI taxonomy): domain Eukaryota; kingdom Metazoa; phylum Chordata; class Mammalia; order Primates; family Hominidae; genus Homo; species Homo sapiens. Next base: position 32,815,845 of record NC_000022.11, read on the forward strand.
GTCACCCCACTGCATGATGGCAGAGCTAGTATTTGAGCAGGTGTGTCTGTTCTGTGGTCTGTGGTCTTCACCGCCCCACTAGACAGCCTGGATTTTTCTGCTCTTGAGTCTCAACACTTTCTGCCTTACTGTGCCACTAGTAAGGAACAGAACAGGGAGGTTTTTGACCCCAGCACTGATTGAAGGGCCCAGGCAAAGCAGGCTCGTCTCCTCTGGCTTGGCTGGTTCCCAGGCTGCCCTAACCCATGAAGCCAGATTCTTGGCCAAGTTAAGCAGGGTGGGAAGAACACTTGTCCATTCCGCCTTCCCAGTTGGGCGAGGTCAGTGTACCAGGTTGGAAAGTGGTATGTGTCTAATTGCAGGGGCGGGGGTAGGGGGGAGGCCAGAGGATTAACACTCTTTAAATAGACATCAGAAAACTAAGAATAGCCTTGCTGCCTGGTAATTGATGGGCATTCCTGACTACGGGCCACACACTCAGTAGGTGCTCGATAAACATGGGTGAAATACAGGAATAAACAAATACTGAAAATGGGTCATTGGGTGAGCACTTAGCCAGTAAAAATCTGTGCTTTGTATAAAAAGAACTTTGGACTGAGGTTATATGAGTCTTCCTGCAGGCTGGAGACCTCTGTTACCTTTACTTCTCTACTTTTGTTGTCTTGAGACCAGCTTTTTTATTTTTGGTGAGGAGAACAGCAGGCAGTTCAAATGTCAGGGAAAGACAAGTTCAGCTTGCTTTTTCCTTATTTCTGTCTTGTTACCTGCTATCCTGCCAGGTTAGAAAGATGGAATCACTCCCTTTTGCCCTATCATCAAGACTTCAGTGTTCCCTGGAGCACTCTAAATTTGCCATCAGACTTGGATCATCCTCTAATACCAAGCTCCTGGGTCCTTCCTGAAGGCTGCCTCCTTGTCTTGCTGAGAAGAATTAAGGTCGCTTCCCTGGGAGGAATTCAGCAGCACCTCTTGTAAGTCATCAGGTGTGCTGTAAGGATGGGGCAGGCAACATTTCTTTGTACTGTGGGAAGGCCTAAATCAGTGTTTCTCAAGGTGTGATCCTTGCACCACCAATCTTAAGAAATGTTCTTTGGAGCCGGGCACAGCGGCTCACGCATATAACCCCACCTTGGGAGGCTGAGGCGAGAGGATCGCTTGAGCCCAGGAATTGAAGACCAGTCTGGGTCACATAGTAAGATTCCCTGTCTCTACTAATTTAAAAAAAAAAAAAAGAAAAGGTGGTTGGGCCTGTAGTCCCAGTTACTCTTGAGGCTTAGGTGGGAGAATCGCTTGAGTCCACGAGGTTGAGGCTGCAGTGAGCCATGATTGTACCACTGCACTCCAGCCAGGGTGACAGAGCAAGACTCTATCTCAAAAAAAAAAAAATGTTATTTGGGAGAGCTGTTTATTGTATTCCCCTCTTGGAGAGACATGTGGCTATTAGCATAGTAAAAGCTCTGAGAAGTCCTGCTGCATGGTGACCTGTTTAGCTCTGTTTAATCCAGTGTTCTCTGAACATATCTAGCCAAGGAACTAATTTTCCCAAGAAGCACCTACAAATGCAGTTGGTGAGACACTGCCCAGATGAGGATTCTGAAAACCCCTTTTGCCCACTTGCCTGCCATTGTGATTGCTGAGTAGGGAAGAAGAAATTAGGAAGTATCATCTGCATTACACAGGGAAGCTGCTCTCCTAGGGTTGCCAAACAGAAATGGCTGTAGTGGTGCCAGTGGGTGCTTTGTAGGGACCAGAAGAAAAAGGAGGAAGGGAAGGCTGACCTTCAAGGTCACACATTTGCCAGATTTAAAGTTCCTTCCTGTGGTCATGACTTGTTTTATAATCTTGCTTGGCTCAGTTCTGGGCACACATCAGATTTTTAAATCCTAGGATCTTGTTTATACCGTTAAGGACATGATTGAAGGACATTGTGGTGAGTGTGAAGGTGAGATGTTTCTGATTGAAGGTCCATGGGGCAGGCACCCTGCGAGCAGGTAATGAACAGTAGGGGACATACCGGTGCAACCCCACCCTGGTCCCCTGGTCGTCTGGGCCAGATCTCTCCCCTCTCTGTTCTATACTTCTCTTACATCACCGTCCTACCTAATCATTTTACCGATAGGAGCACCTTTGGGATTCTGATTAAAGCTATGCATACAAATTTCAAGAGCTTCAGAAATTCTCCTAAAAGCTATCTTGGATCATTAGAACACTTGCCCTAGAGTATCACTGAGTCAATAATGGTGTTGAAACTAAACAGCAACAAAATCCCCCCAAAAAGGTAACCTAACTTAGTCTGAAATTGTCTGAAAATTAATGGCACTGCCAGTTCAGTGGCTGCTCAGAGCGTTTTGGTGAAGAAATTGGCTGATGGATATTTTGCAGTAGTCTACAGGATTTGACGTGGGATGCCATCTTTATGGACATGGCTCTGCTGGGCAAAGCAAGGACGGGCACATCCAGCCTATGCGGTCCATCAGGGGCACTCACATTTAGAATGGGGGAGTCTTAGTTAGCCCAGGGGCTGGGGGCAGCATGGTAGTGTAGAAAAAGGGGCCAGTGCCTCCAGAAAATGGGACCCCAGGCCTGGCTCTGCTCCTTCTGCTGTGTGATTCTGGTTGAGTGGCCTTCCCTTTGAGTCCTCTGGATGAAGTTAAGGAGAAGTCTTGGGTTCTCAAGTAGTCACTATTCAGACTCTCGCTTTCAGAGTATTTAAAGGAGGAAAGGAAACAGAAGGATAGGGCTGGTGGACTTAAAAGGCCGTGTGTTTGCCGCCACCCCATTTGCTCCCAGGGCTGGGTGTTTGTCTCCCCTCCGGCGCTGGGCCTCCTGCTTGGCCTCCAGCTCTTGCACCATTAACTGCAGTCAGAAAAGCTGATGTCACTGTGGCCGGCCTAGGGGGAAAGTCTCAGGATAAAACTGCTTCCACCTGGATCTGGAGAAGGGGAAGTGACTGGCAAGAGATTCGCAGGTAGGGCTCAGAGACCAGGAGGAATCCAGTCTGGGTAAGAATTCCCTGTCATGGGGCTCTGAAGCCACGGGCCAGGCAGGTAGTGGATTTCAAGCCAGCCAGCGGGGTCACTTGGCCCCTGCAGCTACTCCTCGCCCCCTCCTGCATAATTTCCTATTTCCTGCCTCCTCCTCCTCTGACACAGTTATAAATAACCTCGAGGCTGGCCTCTGCGCTTAAGTATAGGTGAGCCAGAGGAAAGTGGAGGGGATCAAGGTGGAGCTGGATCTGCCACTTGGCCAGGGGGTCACAGGGTTTCAGATTGCTCAGGGGAATTTTGTTTTCTTGTTTTTTCCACTAGGGAGTGAGGTAGTGAAAGAGGAAATAAGCTGTGTTGGCATGGGGAGGCTTGGCCTTGCAGGCCGGTGCTGGGTTTCACCCGCAAGGAGCTGCCTCTCTGCTCACTGCAGATCCCCAGGACCAAAGGTCTGGAAAGAGGCTTAGTGAGAAGGCATCTCAGGACACAAAGAGGACACGATGCCTTGCTGGTGAGGTCCTGCGGTCTCCTTCTCGAGGCCCAGCCCGGCCCCATATTGGAGGCCAAACATGTAGAAGGGTGTATCTCATTTTTTACCTTTTTTTCTCAACCACCAGCCAACGATGGGTATGTGATTTCTAAGGATGTCCATTGACTATAAAGGTCCCATTAATACATATGCTATGGACAGATTCTCTCCTTGAACACAGGTTTATGGAGCACCTACTATATTCCAGGTGCTGGGCAGAGTGCTAAGGTCACAAAAATGAATCAGCTGTGGCCTCTACAGCCTGTTCCCCTCTTGGCATAGATCTGCCCTTCCCCCTCCACAGTCTGGACAATCAAGGACCTGGAGTAAGCACACTCTAGGGGCCGCGTCTCCCAGCATATCTTTTGTTTTCGAAAGTTCAAAAAACAGAAGAGGAGGATTCTGAAACAGCAAACTTGCTGGGTCATCCATAGAGTATATTAACTGGCTATCTTGCTATCTGTCCATAACTTGCTACCTGTCCATAGTGTATATTAACTTCCTGGGAGCCCACTCACTGCCTGACTTCCTGTTCTGCGCATGGGCCCAAGGGAAGTTCTCGCAACCATAGTTTTCTGTGATATCCATCCTACCACATGGCTTCCTGGGAAACCCATTAGCTTTTTTGTTTGTTTTAGAGCCCAAGGGAATCAGGGCCTTGAGGGGATTTTTTGGTGTGGGGGGTGGTGCAAGCTTCTAACACTGAGAGTGGGTGCTTTTCTGATTCCTATGAAGGTGGAGTGTAGGTGTCGTTCCTGGCTCAGCAGAGTCAGCCCTCTCATCCTATTCAGGCCGTCTCTGAGGCTGGCTCCTGTGCCCAAGCCCTTCCTCACTCCCTCAGGGCATGATCACAGGGCATTTCCTTAGCATTCCTCCTTTCTCCCCTGTGTGTGTGTGTGTGTGTGCGTGCGCGTGTGTGTGTGTGTGTGTGGTGTGTGTGGTGTGTGTTCTACTCCGTGTGTGTGTCATCCTCTGCTCATCCACCCATTCCACTGCGTGTGTGTGTGTGTGTGTGTGTGTGGTGTGTTCTACTCCGTGTGTGTGTCATCCTCCTCTGCTCATCCACCCATTCCACTGCAGCACCTAGCATCACCTAGGGGCCTGGAAAACCTGCACCTGAAAGCCGTAACTCCCCGGCACCTGGCTGGTTGACTTCTTCCCCCTTAACCCCATTTACTTTGAGGATGGAGGTAGTCTTTAGGGTCAGGCTGAGATTTGTCCTGACCCATGCTTAGTTGGCACATCTTGCTTCTGCAACATGCTTGCTTAGGGTTGGGCAGGGGCCCGGAGAAAACAAGTCGTGGCATCACCAGGACCTGATTACCCCCAGGCACCAAGGAGCACCTGGGACCAAGGGGAGGTTTGGGGCTTGGGATATGTTTTAGGGTGAAGGATCACAGAAGCTTACTCATACCTATTTGAAAGCCAAGTCAACAGATGTGGGTTCTTGGAAGGAGAAAAGGAGGTTAACTGCTTACTTATTAGATTAGAAGTGATGTATGAATGATAAAGAGCAGAGTTTGCCAGATATTGCTAATTAATTCTCTCACTGCTTATTTTATGGATGATAAAGGGTAGGGAGAGACATGTTAATTGGCTTCAAGGTCTCTGAGCCAAGCATGACCAATCCGAGAAACCCAGGTGGCTTCATGCTCTTTCAATATGATCTCATCCCTGCACTAGAGAATTTATATTTTTGAGCATAAAGAATACCCACCGGTGCAATCTCCCAGGCTCTTCTGAAGGGTTTGGAGAGACAGTGGAGGATGTCAAAAGAGATGAACTTAGAGTCAAAAAAAGCAGAGATGGAATCCCGTCTCTGCCTTTTACCACTGGAGTTAGTTGACTAAAATGTAAACTCTGAGCCTTGGTTTTCCCAATTGCAAAATGGGAAAGACCCCATTTATAATGCAGGTGGGTGAGAGATGCCAGCAGTGACAGGGACTTTCAGTAAAGGCTGAGCTGAAGCTGAATTTGAAAAGCACATTCTTTACGTTCCATTGAAGATCTGCACTTGCTCTTCTGCTAACCGCTAAGGTGTCATCAGTGCTGTGCTATTAAAATCAGAAGTCAAAGAAGGTGGGTGTGGCCCTCATAGCCAGAGTTGATAGAAATGGATTTATTAATATAATGGATGGTCCATAGAAAGGTGAATGACCTGGTTAACAGACAGGGATGGAGTGGAGACCTGTCTGCCCTGGTCTTCAGGCTGGTTCTGAAATCACAGAATTAAGATGATCTCAGCTGAGGGGCAAGGCAAATCGGATGGAAGAGCGGAGGCCCAGAGAAGCGAAGCCCTTTCCCAATATCTCACAGCAGGTGGGGAGTGGGGGAAAGCAGCTTCCAGGGGGTGGATTCCTGAACCAGGTATTTGTCACTGTCCCACGTAGCTCCTCTTGTCACCATATGTCCCACTCAGTGGAGGGATACTTCCTGCAAGACAAAGAGGGCCTCATGGTTCCCCCGTCACTCACTGCCTTCCACTCCCTGCTTCTGATTATTCTGTAAGAAGTTGAGGCCGAGCGCAGTGGCTCACGCCTGTAATCTCAGCACTTTGGGAGGCCGAGGCAGGCGGATCACCTGAGGTCGGGAGTTCGAGACCAGCCTGACCAACATGGAGAAACCCCATCTCTACTAAAAATACAAAATTAGCCGGGCGTGGTGGCGCATGCCTGTAATCCCAGCTACTCGGGAGGCTGAGGCAGGAGAATTGCTTGAACCTGGGAGGCAGAGGTTGCAATGAGCCGAGATCGCACCATTGCACTCCAGCCTGGGCAACAAGAGCAAAACTCCATCTCAAAAAAAAAAAAAAAAAAAGAAGTTGGAGCTCTGTCTGTCTGTCCTTTCCCCAACTCCCCATCTCCGAGGCTGGCTCCTGTGCCCAAAGTCTTCCTCGCTGTCTCTGGGTATGTTCACAGGGTATGATCACATTTCCCCTGCATGCCCTGCGTGGGATGTGCTCCATGTGCTGATGCCTCTGGGGATTTCCAGATGATGTCCCTGGACTTGGCAGAGCAGTGTGGGGAATCTGGGACTTGCACTTCCTATCCTCATGGAGTCTGGTCTCTCACCTTCACAGGCCACTAAGAGGAAAGGCAACTGGTGTGACGTCTGGGGAGGGAAGTATGTTCCTGTGCATCGAAAGCCTCAAACATGTGCATACACTTTAACTAGCAATCTTACTTCTAGAAATTTAGTCCTAAGAAATAACTAGGCAATGGAGTCCATTGCTACATTGTTTATCCCCAAATTAATCTAAATGTCTATTGCAAATAGACTGCTTAGATTATGGTGCGTTCATACAGTGAAGATCTGCACTTCCTCTTCTGCTAACCGCTAAGGTGTCATCAGTGCTGTGCTATTAAAATCAGAAGTCAAAGGAGGTGGGTGTGGCCCTCATAGCCAGAGTTGATAGAAATGGATTTATTAATATAATGGATGGTCCAAAGAAAGGTGAATGAAAGAGTCATAAAAGATGTTGAGGTAGTTCTCTATTGATGCCAGAATAGCCCTATGGTGCACTTTTGAGTAACAGAAGCCAATTTGTTAAAAACAACAACAACAACAACAACAAAAAAAAAACAGAGAGAGAGAGATGAATGTGCATCCAGATGCTTAGAGAAGAGTCTGAATGTCTGTATACTAAATATCAACACTAGTTACTCTGCGCTGTGGGATTTTGGATGATTTTAATTTGATCCAGTGTTTTCTGGAAAATAAAATTTCACTACATTGACACATCATTTGATAATCAGATAAAAGAACAATGGTGGGAAAGCAAGGACTCAAGTGACCCTTGCTTTTGGGTCTAGAGCATCATGTAGGAAGCCAGCACAGCCCATCCCTTTCCTAGGCGCCACCTTCTGGCTCCTGGTGGGACTTGTAAGTCCCGTGGTCAGTTACCTGATTGCTCTTACGGACCTGACGCTGGAAATCCTCTCTCTCCAAGGTCCCTGCAGGAGATGGGACCTGCCACAGAGAATGCCGCAAGGGATGTTTCTGTTGGGAGCTGTGAGTGGGGTGGATGTCCTCTGCCTCTCTTAAATAGATGAGCTAGATTTGAACCTGGGGCTGGCCAAAGGGAGTCTCCTCTCAGAAACCAGGATGCAGTGGGCCGTCTGTGTCCCAGCCCCAAAGCAGCCAGGGTCCAGTGGATTAGCACAGAGCCGACCAGGCCTGGAGGGTGGTGGTCTGGGATTGGGTGAGCAGCCACCAGCAGGAATAGCAATTGGAGGGAAGGAGAAGCATTGCCAAGAGCAACTTAGGGGGCCGTGAGTGCAGGTCTCTGGACAGACAGCATGGTAACTGGCTGAGGCAGGAAGAAGCTTGGTGGGCTCCCATGGTGCTAATAATAGGCCGTGTAGGAGCAGGGGAGGCAGCTCCAGACTTGGAGTGAAAAGACGTGGGGTGCAGTCAGAATGAACTCCCCAGCCATCCATGTGGTCTCAGGCAAGTCACTCTGCCTCCAGAGCCCCATGTCCACTCCTATAAGATGGTACATCCCCACAGTGCCCTGCCACAGGTGATTATAGGTGAAGGTCTTTTGACACCTATATGTCTAAGGGTCATGGAGTGACATCTTATGAAGTCAGCACATAGAAAGTCAAAAAACCCTTACATTCCTGTAAAATACAGTGCAGGCCAGGCGCGGTGACTCACGCCTGTAATCCCAGCATTTTGGGAGGCCAAGGGTGGCGGATCATGAGGTCAGGAGATCGAGACCATCCTGGCTAACACGGTGAAACCCCATCTCTACTAAAAATACAAAAAATTAACCAGGTGTGGTGGCGCACATCTGAAGTCCCAGCTACTTGGGAGGCTGAGGCAGGATAATCACTTAAACTTGGGAGGTGGAGGTTGCAGTGAGACGACACCTCGCCACTGCACTCCAGCCTGGGCGACAGAGCAAGACTCCATCTCAAAAAAAAAAAAAAATACAGTGCCATCTCTCCATAACTCCACCTGAGCCAGCAGTTCCATCAGTGTTGTGACAGATTACTATTTTTTTTTTGTTGTCAAGTACCCTCAGGTTGAGCAGCTGAGATGCTTTTAGGGAGTGAGACAATCTCAGGATCTGTCTTTAAACCCCGTAGTCATATAGGGACTGGCACCACCAGAGACAACAGCAGATCCCTGTCTGGAGCTCACTGAAGAATCAGGGGTGGGAGGAATTGCCCTTTTAAAATGGAGTGTATATATGTATATATTTTTTGCATAATTAAATAATATATATATGTCATTGAACTCAGGCTGGTTAGAGGCATGCATGTATGATATAAATTCTCTGTATACAAATAAAAGGAAGTTACTTGTATTCGTTGAATGGGTTGTTATGATGACTCCCTTCATAGGAAACATTTGGATCCATTTCCTCTGCTTTCGATGTTGTTCTTTCGCTTCTGAACCAGTGTTTGAGGCAGATGTCTTTGATACTGAGTAAAGACATGGCAGTTTGCATTCACTCTCTGACCAAAAGAGATGCTCCCTACTCTTGCAGAATACTGATTGCCCATGACAACCAGAGTACTTTTATAAGAAAAGGAGCACACAGAAGGCAGAAAGGGACCTTGTTTGGGGAGGCGGCTTTGAGCAGTGACTTTATGACATAAACGATTAGGCTCTTCCTGGCCCCGCCTGTCTTGGGATATCTACTCAGACCCTGGAACTTTGAAATCGCAGGCTGGGTCCAATGAGCGCAGAAAAGGGACAGGACTCAGGCAGATAGGATTTCTTTCGGGTTTGGTAAACAGCTGGCCTCTAGGGGTAGGGACAGGGGCAGTGGGTGGGAGGACTTGGGGGAGGGATGGGTGAGCTCGTGGGAACTGAGAAACTGTGTCTAGGGCTTCCTTAGTTATACTGAATGCTGCATGTAGAGGTCTGCAGGGTGGCCAGCTGATGGCTGGCGGAAGATCTGCTGACTTGGATTCAGTTACTACTAAAATGGCAGGTTTAGAAAGAGGAGAGAACTTCTAGATCCAGAGGAAATAATCAGGTAAGTATGCTAAGATGTGTGTATGTGTTAGCCAGGCACGGTGGCTCACGCCTGTAATCCCAGCACTTTGTGAGGCTGAGGCAGGTGGATCACCAGGTCAGGAGCTCAAGACCAGTCTGGCCAACATGGTGAAACCCCGTCTTTACTAAAAATACAAAAATTAGCTGGGTGTGGTGGCGGGCGCCTGTAATCCCAGCTACTCGGGAAGCTGAGGCAGAGAATCACTTGAACCCGCAAGGCAGAGGTTGCAGTGAGCCGAGATCATGCCACTGCACTCCAGCCTGGGCGACAGAGCGAGTTTCCATCTCAAAAAAAAAAAAAAAAAAAAAAAAAAAAAAAAAAAAAAAAGATGTGTGTATGTGTGTATGCTTATATATATAATACATATTTATTTGTACATATGTGCATGTACAGATATAAACACACAAGGATGTTTATCATAGAGTTGTTTATAAAAGCATCCAACTAACATTTCTGTATCTATGCAATTGAAAACAACATAGCCATTCAAAGGGATGAGGCAGAGCTATATGAACTGATATATTGGGATTGAAATAAACCAGATCACCAAGCACATTTTGGATGATTCTATTAGCAGGGGACGTATCCACAAGTTTATAGTAGCATAGGGAAAAGTCTTGAAGGTAATATAAATATAAAGCATAGTTATAACTGGACAGTGGGAGTTTAGGTCATTTACACAATTATTTTATAGGTTTTTGTTTGTTTGTTGACTTCTTTTTTTCCCAACCTTTCTTTAGTGAAGTTGTATTACTTAAGTTAAAAAGGAAATAATGAGCCTGGTGTGGTGGCTCACGCCTGTAATTCCAGCACTTTGGGAAGCCGAGGCAGGAGCATCACTTGAGGTCAGGAGTTTGAGACCAGGCTGGTCAACATGGTGAAACTCCATCTCTACTAAAAATACAAAAAATTAGCTGGGTGTGGTGGTGACACCTATAATCCCAGCCATTCAGGAGGCTGAGGCAGGAGAATCGCTTGAACCCGGGAGGCGGAGGTTGCAGTGAGCTGAGATTGTGTCACTGCACTATAGCTTGGGAGACAGAGCAAACTCCGTCTCAAAAATAAATAAATAAATAAATAAACAAAATTTAAAAAGGTAATAATGTAAGAAAATAAAGAGCATGGAGAAAGTAGAAAACCAGATAACCTCGGTCCTATTTTGTTAAATTTTGGGAAATTTCAGTATCTGCATTGTACAGATGACAGGCAGAATCTTGAGAAGTTAACACTTTAAAAGAAAGAAAGAAAAAAACTAGATATTCACTATGTGTCATCTTGTTGACTATTCTCTTCTCTGAACTTCCTGGCATCTTAGTTAGCCTATTTGAGCTGGAATAAAATGTACTACGTGTCTTCAGATTCTGCAAACATTTACCAGGCACCAGGGCGTCCACTATCCAGTCCCAAGCCTGCCACTCAGGAGTTCATGGGGGAGTGAGTGCATGTGGCAGGCATTAGGCAGGGTTTTTGCATTCTGCTCTCCCACTTGATCCCTGTGACAACCCTAGGAGCCTGCTGCCACTGATCTTCTTATTCCACTTGAGGGAACCTAGAGGCAGAGACAGGATTTGAATCCAAGCCTCCAGCTCCAAACCCCAGCTGAAGGAAGCAAGCTGGAACCCAAGATGCTTTCAATCCCTGCTGCTCTGAGCACTGAGATTTGTTCACTGGAATGCTGGAGTTTTGCTGATCATTGACCTCGCAGGGGCCCACTCTGAAGTTAAAAATCCCCGAGTGAATAAATCTCCAGCCTCTCCTGCTGTTTCCTTCCCAGTTCTGAAAGTGAGGGCAGGAGAGATGAGCTTTGGCCAGGAATTCAGCGAGTGACTTTGCGTGGAGTGTCAGCTTCTCCACATTGCTGGGTGTTAGCTTACCCCTGTCTGGCACCAGCAGCAAAAACAGAGCCAGGCGTGGCCTATAGCAAAGCTCCCAGTTTAAATATGTGAATTCATTTGGGCCTGGACAGCTGCATAGCTCAGGCTGGGCAGAATCTGCCACCCTACCCCGTTTCCTTGAAATCTATACAGGAACACAGTTCCAAATACCCTGGTGCCAGTCCCTGCAAGCTCCTACTTGTACAAATGGATTTTAAAACATGTGATGATATCTACCTCCTCCCGTACCTCTGGGCTTTTCTAGGTGTCAGCATGAATCTCATGTGAGCTTTACAATGACCCCAGAGTGGGTGGGCAAGGGAGAGGTGGTTATGACTATCATGAACTCCCTTGCTTTTACAAGCCACTCCCCTACAATCCTTTCTCCAACAAGTAGACAGTGAACTTTAAAAAATGTCAGTCACATCTCTGCCAATGCCCTGCTCAAAGCCCTCCAGTGGCTTCTTAATTCCTCAAGAAGCTCTAGAAGTTTCTACGGGATCTGGCCTCTGTCTCCCTTGGCCTTGCTGTTGCCACATACTTCTAGCTATTCCTCAAATGCTCCAGGCTCCAAGTTTGTCACTGTCTCTTTTGAACTTGCTGTCCTCTCTTCCAGGAACACCTCATCCCCCAGATACTCACTGGCTGGCCCCTTCTCATCATGGAGGTCTCAACTCAAATGTCACCTTCGTAGAGAGGCCTTCCTTGCCTCCCTTCCCCTCCTACCAGCCTCCTTGTCTATTCCCCTTTGCCTCCTAGCACCTGCCATCATATTGGGTATTTGTCTTATTGTTTGGCCTGATTCCTCCTCCGTTACTTAGGCACCAGGAGAGTAGAGACCTTGTTGGTCTTGTTCACCATCTAGAAGATACTTGAAACTCTAACATTTGTTAAATGCAGGAAAGAATGCCCTTTTGACAGCTAGGAAATTGAGGCTGAGACAAGTGAAGTGTCTTGCCCTGGTTTCCCAGCTAGTGAGTGTCTGTGCTGGATTCAAACTTAGCTCTTATGCTCCAGCCTTCAAGTGGGGGAAACTCAAGAGGGCAAGTTCTTACGGGGCCACTTAGGAGCAGACAGCTTCTTAGGACAACATTCTTTTATGTTGATGTGAAGTAGCAAATCTTTCAGAGATACAGGCCTCTAAAAAATTCTGCCATCTGCCGGCTGCTGTGTTAGAGCCAGCCTCAGAAAAAGGTCAGAGATCCAATCCCTGGCTGGGTGCTGTGCACCCAGGAAAGAAGGAGCAGAATTGAAATAAGTCTTTTCCACTCTTCTAGATGAGCCTTCTAGGCCACAGGCAGGGCATACCCATGCATAGACTTTAAGGGCCTTTATTTGGTCTGTTTGCTTCCCAGTTGGGGAAACAGGCCCAGGGACAGGAAGTGACCTGCCTGATGCTACCTCATGAGTTAGTGGTCCAGGCAGTTAGAACCAAGGTTTCCCAATCCAGCGGGAGTTCTTACCTACCCACTATAGACTTCTTGGCCGGTTCTGGGAGACTGAGCTCTTTCCTTCCCTGTGTTTGCCTCATCAGCACGCTGGACTGAGCGTTCCCAGATTCAGTGCTGGAGCCAGCGGTGGGGAGGGGAGTAGGGGCTGAAGAGTATATCAGCCAAGCTTGGGGGAGACAGTCACATAAGGAAATTCACACTCTTCCTCTCTCATTAGGGGGCCCCACAATGAGGAGGGGAAAGACAAAAAACAAGGATCTTGGGTACATTGGTCCTTACCTCCCCACTGCCCCAGGAGCGGTCTTGAGGGTTGGAGGAGACTACCAGCCTCCTCCCTATAGCGGACTTGAACTTGGCACATGGAACCAGCTGAAACTGGCACCATTTCTACCCTCAGAGGGTACCGCTGAAGAAGACGGGCAGAGATGAAAGAGGAACTGCTTAATTCAGCTCGGCACTTCTTAGCAGCTCCCCCATCCCATTGCCGGCTTTAGTCCCAGGCCAGAGACCCATGAGGTGCGTTGAACATTACTGATACCCTCTTTGATCTAAACCCTCCTTTCGTGATCACGCCTGGTGGCTCAAAGAATTGCTCCCCCAGCTTACTGTTCCTGTTGGTGCTGAAAGAATGCTCGTAATTGTTACCAAACAGTGGACGGAGCAAGGCAACATGTCCCCTTTGCCCAGCTGGCTCCCAGTTGGCACTTCATTATGGCAAAGACAGAGGGGGTGGGGTCCCCGGGCCTTCGGCATTTCATTTGCACCCACATGTAGGCTCACTTCTTGGCCTGGGAATTGATCGGTGCCAGATGCTCCATCTAGCCAGCATCCCCACCGCAGCAGGGCTGCCCGCCTCCTGTTTCGTGAAAAACGGCCCGGATTTTCATCAGACCTTAATTGGCCTGGGTCTGGCCTTCATTCTACCCCAGCCTCTTCACAGACTGCTGGCCACTGGCTGTTCCCTCCTCCAGCCAGGACAATGCCGGTCCCCGGGCACTGACCCTGGCCCAGGCAGGCCTGCCAACTCCATAGCTCTCATTTCTCACTCTGCACATCAGTGCTGGCTTCCCACACCCACAGCTCCTCCAGAAGGAAGGTTTGTCAGCGGGCTTCACCATGCACTCTGACGTACCACTTTTGGCCCAACCAAACTACACCCCACCCTTGGGTAGAATGGGACCAAGATGCGACCCTGACAGACTTAAATGAGAAATGAGCATTTTCCAGTGACGCCTCCTCTTCCTGCCTCTTGCTGGGCCTCTCTCTGCATTGCTCTGGGGTGTTCACTGCACTTGGACTGATACCAGTCAATGTCCCTCGCTTCAACCTGACCTGAAACTGAAATGCTCCAAACAAGAGTAAGTGGGGCAGCCGACATTTCAGGAGGAGGAAGGTTGGCAGCCAGGCTGCTGTGAGCTTGCACGGCCCATATGGGTCCCAGCTAGTACTTTGCATTTTCTTTTCTCTCTTCTTGGAACCCCTTCGTCCTTTTTCCCGCTGCCCTCTAGCCTCTTCACTGTCTTGGGAAAGGGGGCCTCTCACAAAACAGTAGTCACCGCTGCTGTTCACTGAGTGGTTACTTTGCACCAGGCACTGTGCTAAGTACCTCAAGGGGAGTATCTCCCTTAATGCCTGCAACATCCTATGAGCCTTGTATGATTGCATCTCCCTTTTCAAGCTGAAAAGAAGTTACATGCTTTGCCCGACAGTCTATAGCTAGGAGGAGCTGGAGCTGAGATTCAACCCCAGGTTCTCTGGTGCCCAAGTGCTCATGTCTTTGCCCTGTGTGCCCCTCTTTCACAGAAACAGAGCTTCAGCCAAATCCTGGAACGGAAGCTCTTGGGAAGCTGCCTGTGACCTTTCTTATTGTGTCCCCTCAGCACAGGTCATGCACAGGCAGCTGGGAATAGATATGCGAGTTAAAGGAATTCTCGTTGGAAAACACCAGAGGGATCCACAGGGCCACCCCCCCGCCCCCGCAATACCACTGTGTGTCTGTCCCTGCAGGGCCCTGGAATCCCACAGTTGTTTCCTGTACCCAGGCCTGGGGAGCCAGCCAGTCACATGGACCGTGAGTGTATCCGCCTCACGCTTCTCTGTGGCCCCTGGCTTCTCCCAGTGGATTCCGCAAGGTGTTTCCTGCAAATCCTGCTGATGGTCTTCGCTGGCACGTAGCAAAATCCACCCAGAACACCGCGATCTGCTGGCCTCAGCCTGGATGGGGTTTTGTTTTTGTTTAGCTTTTAAAAAAATGTGTGTTTTTTTTTCCCCAACCAGGGGCACAGGGGTGGGGGAAGAGGAGAAACATGAAGGTAAAAATATTGACAGAGTGAAAAGTATTGAATATTCCTTCTATTTCAAAAATAGCAGCTTCCATGGCTGGGATGCAGGCTGGCTAGGTTCAGGTTGGGCTGAGGTTGAAGTTGAGATCAAGGTGGCAGCGTGACCCTTATGCCTCAAGCATGTCCTTCAGGAGGGTGTGGGAGCCTGAGGCAGAAGAGAGCTCCTTCCTGTTTTAAAAACACCTTTTTCTGAGACTCTCAAAGAATGTTTGAAATCAGCCATCCAAGGTGCTCTGCCATTTTTAAGAGGGAGGACGGGGCTGGATGGTGTCCCTGGGAATTGAAGGGACCCAGAGAAGAGGTGAATTGTTTAAAGTTAACTCAGAGCATTAGAGTGGGCTGATATCCTCTGAAGAGTCTACTTGTCTGTGAGAGCTGTTTCAGCTACTTCAAAGCCAGATGATCAGGGCAGCGGGGCTGGATTTTCATCTTCATGGCTGTGCACATCTCCACTTGATATGTGGGGGTCGGAGTTGGGGGGCAGTAAAGCCTGGTCCCCATGGAGATGCTATCCTGGAAGCATTTTTATTACCAAGGACTAGCATATAATTGGAAGATTGAAGGCAGAAGCCCTTATCTTCTCGGCATTCTTTAGAATTCTTCTGTATGTAGATTTCAGAACACACAGAGCCAGAGCAAAAGACCTTACTTGGCATTAACACCAGGATCCACCTGCCCCTCCCTTCCTGGCATTAATGTCCAGTGCTCCCCTAATGCACTTTAAGCTGTGAAGTTATCCCAGGTTTATTTACACTGTAACTAATTTACTCTTGGCTGGACTGTCAGCCTGGAAAATAGGATGTCACTGCACCCCCCCCAACCTCCACCAAAAAAAGACAGTGGCTAATGAAGAAAACAGATTGTTGAAGGGCACTAAAATTGAGGCAAGGAGCTGAATAATGTGCCCTCCTCAGGGGCAGGCAGGGCAGGCGTGGCAGGCTGTCGGCATTGTTACAGATCAGCAATGTCCCACTAGTTAGCAAATGGGCCCCTCTCAGTTTGAATGTGCAGCTGATGGACCAGGTGGGGTGATTAGGGGCCAACTCCGTACTTGTTTCTGTCCCCAGTTTTGTTAAGTGCAGATCACCCAGACAGATCCCAGGCTGAGAAAGAGACTGAAGACAAAGCTAGAAGAGGCAGCTGAAGCATCCTAATGTCTTAACTCAAGTTTGACTTTTCAGAAATGTGATTTTAGAACATAGCAAACAGGAAGCACGTGACAACTTGGACCACTACAACGAAGAGAAAGTGGAACCCAGGGGAAATGCATGAGTTAGAAATATAAAGTGATGGGACTCTTAGATTCTAGGGTTAATTGGGACACTAGAATATGTCCAGTCCAACGTGTTCATTTTGTACAATAAAAAACAAGGGCTCCAGGAGGAAATGATTTGTCAAACTCACATAGAAAATGAATGGAAAAAAACAGAAAGAGTATCTAGCTTCCAATTCCTGGCCCAGGGCTCTTCTTGCTATTCAATACTTTCTACGTAATAAGCCTGGGTTTTTTTTTTTTTTCAAAAAAATTATTATACTTGGCCACCCAGATGAGTACAGTTATTTAGTAGAGTACGTAGAGTTATTCACTAAATCACATCAAAGTTGGGAGACAGAGTCTGGTTTGAAAACCCTCGAGTATTTTATTTTATTTTATTTTATTTTATTGTGATAATACTTAACATGAGATATACTCGCCCCTCTCTTTTTCTGAGACAGAGTCTCACTCTGTCGTTCAGCTGGAGTGCAGTGGCATGATACTGGCTTCCTGCAGCCTCAACTTCCTAGGCTCAAGTGATCCGTTTCCCTCAGCCTCCCAAGTAGCTGGGACTACAGGTACGTACTACCATTCCCAGCTAATTTTTTTTTCGTGGTTTTCGTAGAGACAGGGTTTTACCTTGTTGCCCAGGCTGGTCTCGCACTCCTGAGCTCAAGGAATTCACCTGCCTCGACCTCCCGAAGTCCTGGGATTACAGGCGTGAGCCACCGCGCCCAGCAAGATCTACCTTCTTAACACATTTTTTAACACTAGAAGTACTTAAATAGATGATGGTGAAGTCTCAAGCTGTCCTACCAGCAGTAAAAAGATTCCAAGTGGGGAAGGTGAACTCTCAACCTTGTATACTGATCGGTGGCTCCTGGGAAATTTGCATTTATCCCCTAACAAAGCCATTAAGAGAGTCATTGGCCCCCAGCAAGACTGAGATGGTCGAAGGACATGGGACCATGTCATAAGCAGGGAGAGACCATCCTAATCTATGAAAATATTTATCCTGGAGATGATTTGGGAAACATGACCCTTCTTTTCAAATATCTTGTTTTTTTGTAAGCCCAAGATGTCACCTAGGTGGGAGAAAGCCACAGGGAAGCAGTCCAAAGGAGAATTTTTTTATAGTCAAAAAAAATGGCTTGACATGGAACAGGCTGACCTAGGTCAGAGATGGTTGCACACTGGGCAGTTTAACCTTGGGATGGGACTGTAGAAGAAATTCAAAGGAGCTTACACTGAGTGACCCTGAAGGTCCCACCCAACCTAAAGTCTGTGGCCTGTGAAATGTGCCCATGCCACTGTGCCGTAGTTTAACATGTCCTTCTGGAAGGCAGGTAGGACCCAGAGATGAGAAGTAGGGGCTCCCAATTCAGGCTGCCTGGACTGGCATGCTATGTCCACCACTTCCGCATTAGATGATCTGGGGAGAGTCACTTCTTCTTTACAGGCCTCGATTTCTAAAAGATGGGCTAATGACAACACTTACTTTATAGGGCCCTAGTGAGGCTCAAATGGGAAAATCCACGGAAAGCATTTAGCACTGATCATGCATGGAAAGTGCCTGATAGCTGATGGCACCTATTGTAACTAATAATAGTATTAGAATTAGTATTGTAATCATTGACAATAGGATTTTTATAATTAGGGAAAGTGGGGAACTACCCACATGACCATCCTCCTGCTTTCTGTGTCAGTGTTTGACCAAATGTGTTCATCCCTGGTACTCTCATTGCTTATCCTCCGAGAGCACTGGCATATAATGGAAAATGTATTCCAATTTGTTCTGTTATTCCAGCCAGGAACATCTAGGAACAGGGGTTGGAGGTGTGCTTCAGGGACTACCTGAGCCCAGCTTTTTTTTTTTTGAGATGGAGTCTCATTCTTCTTGCCCAGGCTGGAGTGCAGTGGCACGATCTCGGCTCACTGCAGCCTCCGCCTCCAAGGTTCAAGCCATTCTCCTGCCTCAGCCTCCCAAGTAGTTGGGATTACAGGTGCCCTCCACCACATCTGGCTAATTTATTTTTTTTTTTGTATTTTTAGTAGAAACGGGGTTCCACCGTGTTGGCCAGGCTGGTCTCAAACTCCTGACCTCAGGTGATCAGCCTGCCTTGGCCTCCCAAAGTGCTGGGATTACAGGCATGAGCCACTGCACCCGGCCAAGCCCACCTTTTGATAGGAGCCTCCCATGGGCAGGCAGAGTAAGAAGTGTCACATGCAGCCACTGGTCACTTAGGCAAAACCCTGCCAGCTTTCAGATGTGCAGTGGAGGTGGCAGGGGGAGGTGGCTGGTGCTGTGTATGTTTTGCAGATACTCTGTGGTGTGGCAATTGCTCTAGAGGACTCTAGTGTCCAGAAGCAGGCATGTGCAGTTTATCATTACAGCCCTCCTTCAAAGAGGACAGCTGGCCCTGTGCTTTGCAGGGAGAGGTGCACTCCGGGTGGCCCATAAACCCAGAAAATATGATTCCTATCTGGTACAGGGTACCATCCTGGCACCTGGAGAGGGGTCTGCATGAGACCCAGAAATGACTGGATCCACAACAGACCTAGTTTGTGGAACAGTCCTAAAGAATCCTCCATTCAAGCTTATATCTGTCACCCAGGGAACTGGACATTCCCTTCAGTCAGAATGAACTAGTGGCCTCCCCTTCTCTTCAGCCAGGGTCTTTGCAGTCCTCAGCCATGTGACCTCCGACCTGTCAGTCTTGGTCTGATTGCTGTACCCTTGTTTGTGCTGTTTCCATTGCCTGGACCATCCTTCTTTTCTTTCCATGATCAAAACCCTATACATTCTTCTGAGTCAGTTCATGCAGCGGAATTGGCATTGGAATGTTGCAGCTAATTGCACATACTGGGTGACAGAGTGCACAGTAGAGAAAGGTAGGGTGATACACTCTTCTTAGGAAGCAATCAATAAGGGCCAAGATGGAAAAGATGTCTTATTTCACCCACTGAGCACCTACTATGTTCCAGACACTGTGAGATGTTGCGGTTAGATACAATTGTGAGCAAAGCAAGATGTAATTCCGGCAGAATTTAGTGAGTGTATGGGGGCAGGGAAGAAAGAGGATGAGACATGATTCAAATGAATCTACGAACATATAGTTACATACACACTAGGGCCCCTGAGAATACAAAACAGGGGTTCTGTTCTAGTCTTATGCTTGCAGGAGGTGGTTGGGGATGGCTTTATGTGAGGAAGTGTTTTTTGATTTTAAATGTGAAGTATGAGTGGCAGTTGATGGGTAATGGGGAGCAGAAGAGGGTCTCATGCAGATAGAATGGTATGTGCAAAGGCCCCAAGGCTTTGCAACTGAGAGATTTAGACCAGGGCTGCCGATCAGATGTCTAAAAAAGTATACTTGTTCGCCCCTTGCCATACTCTTTGGTCCAAAGGGCTGAGCTCCCTGTCTTCAAACCAGGGGGCTTCAGGTCAGTTACTGGACTTCTCTCTTCCTGCCCTTTGTCTGCAAGCCAAGGTACCCTCAATCTGGCATTGAGAGCCCTGGGGCCCACCCAGCTTGTAAGTGGAGATTTGAATCCAGACTTCACCATTGGATGAGATTCTTAGACATTACAAGAGTTATGGAGAGTTAACTCCACCTCAAAGTTCTCACCATCTGTAACTTATACAAGCCCTTCTCTCATAATTCAGTCTTGGGAATTTTCCCTATCTCCGCATTTCCAATGCATTTGACTTGGTGGGGTGTTTCAGATTTGTTAAATATTTAGTAGTAGAAAGAAGATGAGCTTTGCTGCTGGGCATATTTGGATTCCTAGCTGTGTGACTTCTGACAAGTTTCTTAACTATCCTGAGACTTGTTTTCTTCCTATACTCAGTGGAAATAAAGCTACACATTTTGGGGAATGGTTTTAAGAGTAAGATGTACTGTTTGTAAAGTGTGTCTGTCTTGTTCACTTTTCTGTTTCTGCCACCTGACACAATGCCTGGCACATAGTAAGTGCTCAGTGAATATTTACTGAATGAATAAGAGGTTTAGGCACCATGATTGCACAGACACGATGTTCATAGAGTAGTTGGTCTTCTCCTTCTTTATCAATGACTCCATCTCCCTGTCACACTTCAAGGCCAGGGCAGGTGGTTCAGAAATACCAGAGGTTGGCTTTATAGTTCTGCCATTACCCACTTTGACCAAAGAGGGCAGCAGTTAGCATTCTTTACTTATTTATTTTATTTAAAATGAAGGTTTCCTTAAAAGGATTTGGATCTTCTCTTTAATCATTCCTCCGCACCTTCAGTGCTATTGATTCCTGATAATGGTCTTAGGGCTTGAAGACCTATGTATGGGCTCGTTTTTCTCGTACCTGTTCCTACCTGAGTGCCCACTATGTGAGTGATGTGGTTGTGAGCTGGAAGGGAGGTGCTGAGTGAGTAGGGGACACCCGCTGCAGCAGGTGGGCCTTCCAAACTATGGCCCTGGGTGTCCACAACCTTACAGAATGAAGCTTGTGGAACTTAAAGGTGAGGAAAGCCTACACTATTTTAAAAGCCACATGAAGGGTAAGTTATAGATGTACCAGGGTCTCCTTGGCATCTGTGCTGTATAAAATCCATAGACAGAGCAGCCATTGGCTCTTGTTCAAACCACAAGAAAGTCTCCTGCCCACTCCTGGTGCATTCTGGGAACAGATTTGCTGTCTGCAAAGGCTGCATCTGCGGGTCTGGCGTGCAAAGGAGGGTGGTTCTTTGGCTAATGGTGGACTTGCTCCTAGGCCTATCCCAGAGTCCCTCAGCTCTCCTAGCAAACAAAATCCCAATTAGGAGAAAAATAAAATGCTATAGATGGCTCCTGAGATGTTGCCAGCTGTTTGGGCTTCAAAAATGCCCCGACCTGAAAGCTGGAAGTTCTGAGAACCGTTTGAGGGCATGGTATTTTTCTGGGCACTGCTTCAAAGGGGCTGTGGTTGAAGACCATGCTGCTATTCTGGTGGCCACTTGTGTGGGATAAAGTTTCCCATGGGCCCCCGTGGAGAGGCTGGAGCACTCTCAGGGGATAGGGGGTGGTCTCAGCCCCCCTCACCGAGTGCACTTGCATGGCAGTAAGCAAGTCGGCGCCTCTGACCCCTGAGTGGGCTTGAGCTTTTGAGAGGTCAGCATGCCCCCTTAAACTTGATGTCTCCTCAGAGCACAGCACAGATGCCCAGCCAAAACACCCAGGGCGAAACCACTCCAAGAGGTGAAAGGGCTTGAGGGGAGACAGGGTACGGCGGGAGACAGAGATGCATGAAATACTAACGTTGAAGATTAGAAATGGGATGTGCACTGGAATGAGATCATTTGTGGTTCTGATGCAAAGACCCAGGCTTGTTTCTAGGGGTTTCTTGGGGCTTCGGGGGCCTCCTGTCAATGGACTGTTTGGACACCCATTTGGATACATGCAATCCTAAAGTCTATGGGCAGTGACAGAGTGATAAGTCTTTATCACTAGCCTCAGGGAGTAGAAGCCCACCTAAGAAATGGCACTGTCCCATGTTGGAGCAAGACCCAACCTACCAAGCTGGGAGTTACCGCCCACTGCAAGGCACCCCTGTACTTTGTTGGACTCTCTGTTTTCTGTCTCTCCAATGGGCTGGACTCTCCAGCCTCCGGGCCTCTGCCCAACCATGACCAGAAGGTCCTCTCCTTTCTCTTTCTCTTAACTGTCTCTAGTGATTCTCTGATCCCAGCTCAGGCAGGATGTCTCCCTCCGGCGCCTCCAGGCTGGCTGGGTGTGTCTGCTGCATGCTCCTGTGGCTCCCTGGACTATAACTCCCTGTCTTCTTGTCTCACAAGAGTAAAATAAGCTTCTTAAAGGTAGGAACCTTGTCTGCCTGCTTATTACTGAATCCCCAAGACATGGCACAGGATCTGAGATGCATAGTTCCTCAAATACTTCTGAATAAATATCAGATGAGTGAATCAATGAATTTCAAGTGGACTTGAGGAGAAGGAGGGGGGGTGGCAAAATAAAACAAACAATAAACACTATGGCAGAGAGGGACACAGGACCTGGAGATGGGGCCTGGATAAACAGCCTGCCATGCTCTTCATATTTCCTGAGTGCTACCACAAGGAAGAGGGGCAGCTGGAGGCCAGAGGGCCTGCAGAGGAGTCAGCAGGTCTAGCAAGGAGTGCCTTGGGTGGAGACTCCCTGGGGCTAATTTTGGTGTCACCACTGACTTCCTTGAGGGTGCTGAGCCTTGGGATCTTCATGTGTTGGTAGCTTTTGGGTGCTGTCCTTCCACAGACACATCAACAAGTTCATGGGGGTCTCCTGTAATAGGGTCCTGTGACTTGCCTCTTTTTGGAGGTCAGTCTTCAATATTTTGGAACAATGTCGGTATTCGGCCTCTCCAGATCACATTTTTACTTGTCCCTTCCTTTTCTGAGTAACTCTATGGAACAAGGACTCCTGACCCAGCACTCCAGGAAGCCAAACACAAAACCATCCCCGTCTTCGTTATTGTATTACCTTTGGTTCCCTCCCACAGCCTCATTCATTCATTCATTCAACATTTTTGGGAACCCTGGCCACAATCTAGGCTCTATGCCATGTGCTGGAGTCCCAGATGCAGTCCCTGCCATCCGGTAATTAGCGATGCTAGTGAGTGTCCAAGGAACCAATCATTAAAGAACACGTGCTGGAAGAAAGAGAGGAAAGCCAAGCAGAAGAGAGGTGGACTAGCTTGGCCTGGGGTGGACAGAAGGCTTCCTGGAGGAGGTAGCATTTCAGCTGGGTGGGTCTTGCAGGAAGCCAAAGGTGCAGGCAGATGCACAGGGAGGAAGTGATTCTCACCTAGGCAAGGGGCATCATAGGACAGGTTCATATAGTGATGGGGGCTGGAAGCTTCAGAGTGATAGGGTTTGAGGTATGGTCCCAGCTCTGAAGAGCCATATATATGCCACCGAGCTATGCAGAATAATCCTGTAGATACTGCAAACCCAAGGGAGGTGTAGGTGAGGATGTAAATGAGGGTTGTGGATCCCATTTGTTCCTGGGAGAATGTGGGGGACTTAGGGGAGAAGGACTGTGTTTCCCACTGTCTATCCTTTGGGGCTTTGACATTTCCCACCTGACAGCCATTTGCAGAGTAAAAGCCTCAGGGATTCTAATCATGCTTGGTGAACACTTTGAGGTAGTCGCCTCATTGGACCCTTAGAAACCCAGGTCACAGAAACACCATCACCCTTCTGAGATTCACAGTCCTCCCTCCCCAGGTAAGTCGGCCCTGAATCCAGGAATCAGCCAGCCCTAGGACTTTTGCCCTGTCCCAGGCCAAGGTATCTGTACCTTTCTTCCAAATTGCTGGTGGCCCCAGGAAGAAATCAAGAGTGGCTGACTTTAAGCAGTTAGATTAAACATCAAATGCATTCATCCCAAGTCCAGGCATATACCTAGAAGGAGCGACTCTTAAATTTTGTCATTTCATTGTGTAAAACTGAGGTTGCCCCTTAACACATGAAGGCCAGCATGGGATGCTAATTTTGTGTTGTGTTCTTTTGGGTAATCTCAAAGTTCCAGGAAGCCTGACCTTCCTAAGCCTGTGTTTCCTTGCCTCCCCTTCCCGGCCCCTTCATTTCATCTACAACAGACGTCAGCAGGGGCCCTGAGTTTTTCCCAGACCGCTCAAGCAGAAACCCATCCTGCTCACAAGGTGAGGAGAGCCAGGAGCTCACAAAGGCCCCTCCTCCCCTTCCCCGGGAGGTCCAGGACAGGGCATCCCCAGGACAGACCTGCCCTGGGGACCCCGGAACACAAGGCAGGTACTGAGAAACAGGAATCTCTGGGCAGGGAGGTTTTCATATCCTCCAGGTTTAATAGCTTTCCCTGAGATGGAAACTTGGGTTGAAATGATTTGCAGCTTTCCAGATTTTCTGAGTGTGTGTCTTTGGGTTTATTTTTAGCCACAGGCATTCATTTCTTGCCAAAAAAACCTGCTTAAATAAAACCAAGATTAATATTTTTACTTAACGGAAAGAGTTAGTCAGGACAGGCTTTGAACTGGGACTCCTTATCTTGATGGGGAGTGCATGTTAACGGTCTGGCCTTGGCGTTGACATCAACGAAAAGGGCCTTTGAAACGGACAAGAGAGAAGGGCCCTGGGGGACCAGGGTAGGATGCAGGAAAAGCCTATTTGTGGGACTTCTCTGAAGAGAGAGAGTTCCTCTTCACTCAGGCTGCTCGCCGCTCCCCACCCCCAGCCCCCAGCCCCCATGCTCTTGCAGTGGGAGGGGGGTCATCATCTTCCTGGAAAGGCGGGAGATCGGCTCTGGCTTTGCTCAGAGCCCGGCTGTGATTCTGCCTCACTTCCAGCTGCTCTCCTTACCGCCGCCCCCTCCGCCCCCCACCCAGATCAGATCCAGACTTCTTCCTCCTCTGGATTCAGACGCAGCAAACTGAGTCTCTTCTGCAGGATGGGCTGAGGCTCAGATCTGATGCCATCTCCAGGGCGATTCCCTGACACCCCTCCCCTGAGATGGACTTCATCTCTTCTTGGCTCTGTCCTGGCTTTCCGTCCTTGCTTATATTGCTGAGCCTGCCTTACTTGAGTGTCATTGCTGGTCTCTCTCACCTCTGGCCCTTGAGTTCCTAGGAGCCTTATGTATCTCTCTATCCCTGTATACGTCTTCACAATACTGAAACACCTTCCTGGTTGCTGAAGAGTTGTGTATCTGACCCTGTGAACCGAGAATTGCTGTTACCCCCTTTTGATTGAATAAGACTTAGAAAGACTGGTCATTTGACAGAGCTTGCACAGGAATTATTTATCTGTTTTTAAATCACTCTGTGTGTGGCACTTTATACAAGAAATCACACGTAGCTTCCCATATTCAGCAAATACATATGAGGTGCCTGTTATGTGCCAGGCACTCTTCGGGCAGCTTTGGCTACAGCAATAGGTAAAGCAAAGAACCTGCTGCCCGGGGAGGCTTACATTTTAATGGGGAGAGATGATCAGTAAAGAAGCAAGTTAATGTATAATGTCAGATGGTGGCCAGTGTCTGATAGAGCACAGTGTCAGGGGCCAAGGGATTGCGAGGAGGGGGAGGAATGTGCATGGATCAGGATCAGGGAAGGTCCCCCGCCCAAGTGAAGAAAGAGTGTTCCAGCAGAGGGAACTGCAAGGTCAGAGACCCTGAGAGCATGCTTGGGTGCTAGGGTGTGCAGTAGAGTGAGCTACAATTTCCTGAGATTAAGAAGGCCATGAGAGCCCCGGGTGCAGGGAAGGCCTGTTATCTGGAGCTCAGTGTTGGATGGGTCGAATTTGAGATGTTTTATTAGGCTTGCAGGTATAAATGTAGACTAAATGTAGACTCTGGGATATATAAGTAAAAAGATCATCAGGGAGGGGAACAACATACACTGGGGCCTGTTGGTGGGTGGGGTAGGGGAGGGAGAGCATTAGGAAAAATAGCTAATGCACACTCGGCTTAATACCTCAGTGATGGGTTGATAGGTGCAGCAAATCACTATGGTACATGTTTACCTTTGTAACAAGCCTGCACATCCTGCACATGTACCCCAGAACTTAAAATAAAAATACAATTTGTTTAAAAAAAAAGTTCATGAGAGTTCTAGGTTGGCGGTGGCAAAAGCGTGGGAGCTGTCAGTTGTGCAGATGGTGCTGAGACCCACAAGCTGGAAGAACATAGCAGGACCACGAGCCTGCACCTCGATGACCGGACTGAGCACCAAGAAGGTCATGGGTGACTTCGACAAGCACTGCTTTGGAGAGGTTAGGGGGGAGGCTGCCTAGGTTATTGCAGGCACCTTTGGAGGCTGGTAATTATCACCCACAATTTATCTGCTGGGATGGGAAGTGACTTGCCCAAGGTCACAGAGAAACAGGGCAGCGACTTCACCCAGACCCCACGTGCTCCATGCCTGTTTTTCATTCCAGTACGCCGTGATCACTTCTCCAGTTTTCTTGATCTGTCCTTTCAGCTTCTGAGTCTTTCAGGAGGGTTTTTTTGGGAGTTGGGATTGTGGTGATCAATAGGCTGGGAATCAGAGGGACCCAGTCCAGGCAGGCCCCTCAGGCCTCTGCTTTTCACCCTTAGTTCCGAAGGCCCTTTCCTCTCACCTAGACATCATCAAAGCATCCCCAGAGAGGCAGCAGATATCTGAGAAGGACCTTGGGAAGGGTCACTGAGGAAGGTTCTCAAGATCCTGGGGGGATGAGGAAATGCTGAATCACAAGAATCTTTCGGGTTCCTCTTGCTGTTTTCCTCTGATTAGTAAATTTAAGAATCTACAAGTCATCACCATCAGCAATATAACAGTGTATCATTTGTCTAGCTTCAGGGTTACAAAGTACCTTTGTACATATACATTGTCTCATTTAATTAATCAATCTAATTAACTTCAAACTTCCTGTGTTGGGAGAACCCTTAGGGAGCCTGTGGTTTTGTGGTTTCTAAGTTATTTGTTTTTATTCCATGAAAGCCTTGCCGGGGAGCACAAAGGTCTAAACAGATGATACGATATACTGTTATACTGCTGATGGCGATGACTTCTAGATTTTTATTACTAATCAGAGGACATGTGTTTGTGTGTCTGTGTAAGTGATTGGGAAGGGTGGTGGGTGGGTGATCAAAGGGATGTGGGGCTCACTGGGAGCTTATCAAGGGTCCTTCCTTTTAGGTATCAATCTTCTTCTCTGATCCTCTGCAGTGAAAGTGGGGAATGCAGTAAAATTATGAACTATTTTGCAACCAGTGTGAAATCCCATGTAAAGGTTTTTAGGTGGTCTGCTGTCCTGGGGGACCTCCCATTTTTTTTTTTCCCCCACTAGGATGCAAAACTGCTTACAGGCTACCTGATCCTCATTGTCCACAGTTGGAAAGTAGGGACATTAACAGCCACAACAGTAGCCACCTTACCAGCTTGCCATGAGGACAGAGTTAAAGAACATGCACACGTTGCTTGGCACCTAAGAGGCATTCGATAAATGGTAGTGGTTGTTATCAGTATGTTCTAGTTCCCTTCCTTCTCCTCTAGATTCACTAATGTGATGCTAAGAAAAGCAAGCAGTTTGTAATTCTTGAATGGGTGAGCAGCTGGAAGAGTGAGAGAGCCTGGCTCTGCCCTCCTTGGGCAGGCTACATTGTAGAGTGTCCAAGGTGGGCAGGAAAAAGGCTTGCTTGGCGGGCTCCAGGCCGACCTCCCTGTGGGTCCCTGACCTATTGCCTTTGCCATGAGCACTCCGGCCTCAGCAAGGCCGCTCCCTTTGTCATCCTGTGGGAGATGATAAAATACACACGAAGGGGCCGTGAGACAAGCTGGGTGACAGGGATCCCTCTTTCCTCCTTTTTGGTGTGTTTTCATGGGTAGGGCATCATTCCAACACTTCCAGATCCCTCTTTTCCTCCAAGTCTAGGCCGAAGATGCGAGCCCATGGTCCAGGCTTTTCTTCCTACCTAGAGCCTGCCTGCTGGGGTCCCATCAGAAGAGCAGCCCCTTCCCTGGGACTGACACTAACAGTGACTTCTGCATTTGAAGAAATGCAGTCTACCCACTAACCAGACGTCCCTTACTTATCCTTGCTGTCCTTTTAAAAACCATGCCTTAAAGCAGCAAAATCATTCTATGGGGTCTTTGGAGAGACAGGAATGGGGGTGTTGTGTGTGTGTGTGGGGTGGCGGTGGTATCTCACCTGCTAGATAGCATGAATCAACTCCTAAGTCATGGAGAGGATTTGTACTGCTCTTCCGTTGATGCTACCATGGGTGGAACCTGGACTCCTAAGTTAGTATACATTAATTAGTTAAGGAGTCCTTGATCCCCAGACCAGCCAAATGGGTAGCATTGTTGCTCGGCCTTCTAGTCTGCCAGTAGGAAAGTCCAACCATTAGGTCGGGGAAGAAGGGTCTGGATTTGGTTGACAATGGTTGGATGGGGGATAGAAGCAGAGAGAGAGAGGGAGGGCAGCTCAAGGGTATCTTGCCCCACTCTGTTTATGCTGATGAACAGCACATGTGCAATTTCTGGAGACACACCAGTAAGCTTTTCTGGAAACTCAATCCCAATTGCCATTGGAAAATTGTTCTTTGTTCAAAACTTGTGCCACTGTGGTCCATACTGCTAGAGCTGGAGGTGGGGAGAGGCAGCATGAAGGTATATTTATGGAAGAGGTGTGCCTTGTTTGCCTTGCTTTTGTAAGCTCTTACTAGCACTCTTGCCCAAACAAATATTCAAAGGAAGCAAAGACAGTTCAATAGAGATATATGCCTCTATGCCTGGCTTCTCAGGCGCATGATATATTCAAGAGGGCCCCATATATATTTATAGATCAATGTGCCCATTATATAAGTTCACACATCCTAGTTAGTTTCTTCTTAGATACTTTTACATTGAAATACTGCTTATTCCTTAATCAATCTCTTCCTTGTTTCTTCTTCTTCCTTTTTTTTTTTTGCTGAGACAGAGTCTTGCTCTGTCACCCAGGCTGGAGTGTAATGGCATGAGATATAGCTCACTGTAGCCTCGAACTCCTGGGCTCAAGCAATCCTCCCACCTCAGCCTCCTGAGTAGCTGAGACTACAGATACACGGCACCATGCCTGGCTAATTGTTTTAAATTTTTATAATTTTTTATTTTTTATAGAGACAAGGTCTCACTGTGTTGCCCAGGCTGGTCTGGAACTCCTGAGCTCAAGTGATCCTCCTGCCTTGGCCTCCCAAAGTGATGAGATTATAGGCATGTGCCACCACACCCAGCCTCTTCCTTGCTTCTTTTGACCACCAGATCCCTAGAAGCCCAGATTCTCTTCCTAAGAGCAAAAGAAATTCTAGAGAGACAAGAGAGGCTCAGAGGCTGAGATTCACACTGAGCCTCACCTCTCCCTTCTCTGATTGGTGCTTCTGTACCTTGGAGACTAGTCCTCTAGCCATAAACTTTTTTTTTTTGAGATGGAATCTCGCTCTGTTTCCAGGCTGGAGTACGGTGATGCAATCTCGGCTCACTGCAACCTCCACCTCCTGGGTTCAAGTGATTCTCCTGCCTCAGCCTCCCAAGTAGCTGGGACTACAGGCGGCCCCATGCCCAGCTAATTTTTGTATTTTAGTAGAGATGGGGTTTCACCATGCTGGCCAGGATGGTCTCAATCTCTTGACCTCGTGATCTGCCCACCTCAGCCTCCCAAAGTGCTGGGATTACAGTGGTGAGCCTCCACACCCGGCCAGCCATAAACTTTTAAACCTTATCTCCCCACTAGACTAGCCATCAGTGGAAGCGGGAAATAGGACTTCTATTTCTTGTTGTCACCCTCACCAGCACCCAACCCAATGTTCCAGACACCAACCTAGTTCATGCCTATGTTGGTTTGATTGTTGGGGGCACTGGGTAGACAGTGTAGGGGCCATACTCCAGCATGAATGGGAATAAAGACAACCTGTGTCCAGCCTGGCCCATCTGTAAAGCTGGCTTCTAGCCACCACAACAAGGTGGAAGGAATGGCTAGACATGCTGCCAGTTACCAGTTTGAAAAGTGTCTTCTGTTGTTGGAAAAGCACAACCTCCTCCCACCCCACTTCCCTTGTTCCCTGTGGCCCCTGGGCCAGCGAATGCCTCGGGAGAACCCTGATTGCCAAACAGGAGAGTACAAAATAGCACACATTTGAATTACAGAGGAGAAACTGGAGCAAATACGGACAGATTAATGCACAAACCAAATAGGTGGATCTGGGGTTGGCCAGCAATTCTACTTTGGAAGGACTTTGAGAATCTATTTGGAGGGCAGAATGTAACTTAATTTTAGTTCAGTTTAGTGAAGTTTTGTTTTTGTAAGGAAAACACTGATGTGGCCTCTTCACTGGGCCATCTCTGCCTCAGACTTTTGGAACCATGACTGTGATCTTGTTTGGCTGGTCTTAGTAGGCAATTCTTGGGTTACACATGGGTGATAAGGTGGGATGGGTACATGTGATAGAGTAGGCACTCCTGATCCCAAAATACCTCCTATACTTGTTCTGACTACTTCATCTGTGCTTCTCCACCTCTCCCTGAAGTTCTGTAAGGCTAGAATATTTTTATGAGGTTGCCTTTCTTCTCATCCTAGGGAGAACTCCCAGGCCTTAGCTTACAGTGCATGTTAGAAGTCTGAAGATGGTATGCCCTAAGATGGAATAAAAATAGACATCACCATAGTGGTGATAATGCTAATAACAGTGGTAGCAAACACATGAGGTTTGGGATGGACTACATACTGTTCTCAGCGCTTATATTAATACGACCCTCACAGCAACTTTATGAGGCATTGTTTCATCATTCCCATCTTACAGATTGGGAAACCAAGGCATAGAGAGGTTTAGCAACTTCCTGAAGGTCACCCAGCACCAGGGCTGGGATTTGAACCCTGGCTCTCAGGCTCCAGAGACCAGGCTCTTTAATGCAATGCTATGTTGCTGCTCCAATAGTAATAAGCAAATCACTTGTTAGCCACATGAGAGGCACTGGGCTAAGAAAGCCAGAGAGATTCAGGAGGAAAGAGCCCCAGAGAGATCATACAGTAATGGTGGAACCCAAACTTCAATGCAGCTTCCTGACTACAAAAACGTATTCTTTTCACTGAACTATCCTCAGATGAAAAGGTTCCAAGCTCAGGCTATTTGGGGTAAGGAAGGAGTTGGCTGGTTGTATGTGCAGAAGCTTCCAGCAGTACTCAGCTTTATGGGGCAGGTCTGCTTGTGACATCTTCTGTCTAAATCAAGTCAAGCCATTTTTGAACCAGGATGTTGCTATTTAAAGGAATCCCTTTTGCCTTGCCCCTCCCACACCCCCCGGCCAAGACTCGCTCCCTTGTTTACCTTCTGTGTTAATGAGGCAGAGAAGATGGGTCCAAATCATTTCAGGAAGAATCAGTGGTAAAGGCTGGCAGACATGCCTCTGCACGGAGGTGAAGCTGTTATAACCTGCCTGTGAGAGTTAATATGGAGGAAACAGTCCCCGGGGCCTCCGGGAGGCTGGCTTGTCGCCGAGAATACTACCGCAATGTTAGAAACAGAGGTGGATGCAGGATCTTGACAGACATTGGCCTGGGATCTTGCCAACCTCTCGTTTTTACAGCAGACTTGGAAACAACCACTCGCCTCCTCCTAATTTGAGCTGCCTCCGCTAAATTGCTCACTTTGCCAATGACTGTGTGTTTTGCCATCGCCGGCAGGGAAGGTCTGAAGGGGCCATTGATTCATCTGAACCCTGACTTCATGTCTGACTGCAAGGGTAGGATCCAAGCTCATTTGGAAAGAAACAAGACAGAATCCAGTATGGATGAGGAATCAGTTCTTAGTAAAGATTTTTTAAAAACAGAGATTAGAGTCAAATAACTGGGATACATAGTGGAGCATCCACAATGAGGAAGGATAATGGAGCTACCAAAATGTGTGTGTGTGTGTTTGTGTTTGTGTGTGTGAAGGGTATTTTACTTAACAAGCATTTATTGAGTATCTACTCCTTTTTGGGCTAAGTGCAACTTGAGATAAGAAAGATTGATAGGATCTCAGGGCTGAAGGAGTTCAATTTGTAATTCAAAGTATGACTGCATAAGCAAGCCCCATTCCAATTCCTGTTGAGGTCTTAGCATGGAAGTATCCAGCACCCTCATCACACCCCCTGATAGAGGCACTCTCTGCCCTAATGGCAGCCCCCCTGCCTTTTGTTGCTGGTTCTTATTATTAGACGATTTTTTTCTTTGGTTGAGCCAATGAATGTTACTCTCTGCAATTTCCAGTTTTGGTATTCAAGACCTGTCCATTTGCTCCTCCATGTGCCAATTTTACAAATACCTGAAGACAGCTCTTGGGTGCTTCTTTTTCACACAACGTAGAAAGAGAAGCACAACCTTGTAGAATCTAAAAGTCAAGTCCTCTCCTCTTTCTGTTCCCAGTGCATGTGGTAAATGCCTCTCTTTCAGCCCTCAACCCACTGGGTGTAATTACTTTTGTATTCATAGTTAACTAGTATCTACTGGGTAAATCCTTTCTGCCAGACATTGTAGTGGGAAATTTCATAAGATCTTTCGTTCAATCCTGATTCCAATTCCCTGATGTAAAGAGAGTTATACCCTCTTTATAGATGAGAAAATTGAGGCTCAGAAAGAGGAAGTGGTTTCACTTCTTGGTCTGTTACCTTATCTAGATCATGTGGATGCTAATACTGCCCTTGTAAGACAGTTAAGAGCAGTAAATAAGTGAAATGTACATGGCACATAGTAGGTGTGCAATAAATGGGAGCTGTTTTCATTGGAACAGCCCTTCCATGGTTAGCCCATTTCATTTTTGGTGATGATAATGATGATGATATTAATAATATTTGTCTAGTGCAAACTATGTCCAAGACAGTATCAAGAGTTTCACATTTGTCATCTTGACTAATCCCTTCAGTTCAAGAGATTAGTATCATTATGATTCCTGTTTTATAGAAGAGGAGGCCAGAAACAAAGTTACTTACTTGCATACAGTCGCAATAGCCATAAACAGCAGAGCTGAGATTGGAACAGTTCTGTCTGGCTCCTGAGCCCCGACTCCCAATTGCTCCTTCTTCTAACCACATCCCCATAGAGCTCAGACTCTATTGCATCCCTTGCTATCTAAGCACTGGATACCAAGGGCTCAATCAGAATGCTAACTGGGGGCACTGTGGGAAGCTAGGGTGCACCACAACCCTGTAGACATGTCAAGATGTGGTGAATTAATGCATGCAAAGGAAGAGCCCCAAATGAGGTGGTTAGAAAGGGGTCCTAGTGGAAAGAGAACAGATCTGGGAGACCATGGCATTGTCAGATGGACAAGGGAGGGGGGACAATGGCTCTAACAGGAGAAGTAGGTTTTGGATTATGGTAAAGTCACAAAGTCAAGAAAATCCTCAGGGTCGGCGGGGGTTGACTATAGCCTTGGAAGTTCTGGAGCTGGCAATTGTGAATATTTGGGGTAATTAACTTGAATGGTGGCTGTTTCTTTTTCCTCCAACCTCCCTCTCACCCCAGGGAATTCCCACTCTTGTAAACACAATCATCTATTCCAGTTGGCTCCAAGGTAAGAGTGCAATTCCAGGCTCCACAGAGGCTAGCGTGCCCGCCCTGAGATGCTGTTCCTGATGTGGTTCAGGCCTTCCTAACCTCTTATTGTCTCCTTCTGTCTCTGCAGTGATCCGGGCCAAGGTGGTGGGGAAGAAGCTGGTAAAGGAGGGGCCCTTCGGCACGCTGGTCTACACCATCAAGCAGATGAAGGTAGGTAATGTCATCACCCTGGCTCCGGGAAGGTTTTTGGGTTTTTGCCAGAAGAGTCCTGGCTAAGGGAGGCAAAGTGGGTTGGAACTGGGGTGTGTGTCTAAGCACCAGCCAGACCCAGCCCTTCTGCCTGCTGGAGAGGGAGCTGCTAAGGCTGCATAAAGGGATGGGTAGGGAGGGGGCATGGGGCTGCCTTGTCCAAGAGCCCATGCAGGTGGAGTCACTCCAAGGCACTTGTTAGGAAGCTGAGCTCTGGAGCCAGATGGCAGATAGCCTTGTTAGCTCGTAACCATGAGACCTTGGTCAAGTCACTGCCCCTCTCTGGGCTTTAATCTTCCCAATTGTGAAATGAGGGGGTTGGACTAGATCATCTCTATGAACTCTTCTGAGCTCTGACTATCTGGGACTCAACAGTGCTTACAGGTTTCATGCAGCCACTGAGGTTACAGCTTAGGTTTACAGCCCTCAAATCTTTACATGGAAACTGTGCTGATCACAGGAACCTCATCCCAAGGCAGGAACTTCACCTTCTTTCCCTATTTTCCCAGCTGATTGTCTTCTTGCATCCTAGATAGTTAGCAATGTTTGCTAAGCATATTCTTATCATTAAACATATTACTGAGGATATGAACATCATGAAGTACAGGAAGGAGGTATGCCCTTAAGAAAAAGAACACCAGATTTGAAATCTAGAGAACCTGCCTCCTAGTCTCACCTCTACTCCTAAATAGCCTGCTTACCTTGGGCTTGTCCCTTTTCCTGGGCCGCAGTTTTGCCACCTGTTAACAGTGTGGGGTTGGGCTTGGTGCTCCTAACATCCTCTCTAGCTCAGGCATTCTAAGCACCCTGGGATGCGGGCCATGTTACTTGTAAGGAGGAGCGGGTGGTATACAATGGAAGGGTGTACTGGTGATTGCCTTAGCACAGAAGACTGGGGCTTCACCTTGAATAACTCAGCAACTGGTTCATCACCCCATCTTTGTAAGCACCTCTCTACATGCAGAGCTCCCAGCTAGGAGCCAGGGAGGCCGTGAGGGAGATACAGTTTCCATCTTTAGGAACTAGAGTCAGGTTGGGAGAGAAGAGGCAGGTATGTGTGTGACTCATCAGAAGTTCAATGTGGGGTGTGCTGAGGTCCACAGGAACTGTCCAGCCCTTTAACTTATTGCTCATATTTGCATCCCTAGCAATTAGGGTAGGACCTGGCATGCAAAAGTGACTTGGTGAATGCTTATCTGTCTAATACGGGCATGAGGGTGAGACCCCACAGGCCTGGAAACTCCCCAGAGGAGACAAGCCGCAATGTCCAGGTAGAAGGGAGTGGAGGAGTGACGCAGCCCACGGTGGTACCCAACCATCCCCAAGGCCAACCTCCAGGCTTTCTTATTCCTGTGTCCTGAGGCTGGATGTACTAATTTTGTGGAACCTGTTGCTTTGGATTCAATTTTGCAAACATCCACAGCCTTCTGGTTATGTAATGTCCAGAGTCAGCCCTGGCCAGTTGCCCTTGGCTGCCTAAGCTTGGTCATGAGACCAGCTTATGTCTTCAGACAGCCCTGGGGAGAGAAAAATGGGCAGGGGTGGGGAACCAGCAAGAGCAACAACAACGCAAAAAGCCCACTTTGCAACCTCTGGCAGACAGCGCGGGAATGCCAAAGCATATTAGACCAAAGCAGAGGTTCAGAAAACACACGAACCTGCCTGGTCTGGAACAATCCTCATTACGAGACACTCGGTGGTCAGCAGAGAGCTGAGAGGGAAATAGCTGGGAGGCAGCAGTTCCTAAGCCTGCCTGGTTTCCTTCCTACCATCAGGGCCTGGAGACCAGGGTGACCAGAGGCCCTTCCTGTGGACATAATGTCCCATTCCCCCTTGCTGGTGTCAGACCAGCCACGGGTGGTTGTTTAGAGACCAAACAACACTTGCTAGCCTATCAGCATCAGACACTCCCACTCCCAGGCTGGTGGGCTTAGAAGACACACTCCCACTCCCAGACTGGTGGGCTTAGGCTTTCGGTTCACCATCCTTCGCCTGAGCTCATGAATCATGGTGCTGGGAATTAGATGTAGGATCCCTCGTCTTACTTCTGACAGAGGCGCAAAGGGGAAATGACTTACTCAGAGTCAAGCATTTAACTAAGGGCAGATCTGATCCCCAAGCTGAGGCATCGGAATTTCTTCCCAATCCTGTGTTCTTTATATGACTCCCAAATCTCCCTGCCATCTTAATCATCAGTCACCATCTCATGCCTTTCATTCACTCTGACCCTCCATAGAGGGTATCATGATCCATAGAACTGGTCAGTGCCCTTCTATCCAGAGACACCACTGGAATCTGCTTGTCTCTAGGTACCAGCCTGCAAGTCAGACAAGATACAGGCTAGAAGTAATAGTCCGTCCATCCATCCTCTCGTGCTTCCTTCCCACCCTCTCTCTGTGCTTAGTACTGTACTATGAACTGGGGATACAAAGATAACACTGCTTATAATTATGATAAGACTTGGCATCAGTTAACATTTACTGAGCAATTGCTTAGTGCCAGGCATTCTGCTAGGTCTTTGCATAGATCAGTACTTATACTAACACTGTAAAATAGATAACACCTTGTCCTCTGTTTGACAGGTGAGGCAACTGAGACCTGGGAGGTCATATAACTGTTAAGATTATATGGCCACAAAGTGGCAAACCTGAGCAAAACTACAGGGTCTTTGCCTATAAGGAGATAATACAGTATGGAGCAGCAGGCTGATTCATCATTCCTACCCACTTTGGGGTATATAAATGCCCACTCCATATGTTTTTAGTTCCCAGGGAACAAAAAGAGGTCAGTTTGGGTTTGTTGGTTTATCATCCAGCAGTGTAGGGCTGGACTTGTAATATCCTGCAAAGGGTGTATCAGAAAAATCTTTGTAGGAGGGAAGAGAGAGAGGCCAGAGAGGCAAGCCTGCATGAGTTTTGGCACTGGTCCCTGGGAGACTTTGTTCTAGCAGATTAGACAGTCTACCCTAGAGAGTCAGAAGGGGTGAGCAAGGGCTTCCTTAGAGCAGGACTAAAGGAACTTGGAGAACCTGAGACTCCGAGCCGCCCTGTCTGACCTCTCTCTTCTCTCACTGATGGAAGGCAGGCAGACCTTCTCCCGTCTGCTAACTCTGGAGCCTCTGACCCATCTCTCAGGAACACTTCAGTACACAGAGACCTGCGATATGTGTGTGTGTGTGAGGGAGCAGGGTGTTAGAATGTTGAGAGAGCTTATTGCAATCCCAAACTTGGAAATTAGCTGGGCTGTGGGGTGAAGGTGAAAGTTTCCAGAACTGGCTGCTCTAAGCTGTGGGGACCTTATCTCCCATCAGGACCATGAGAAACCGATCCACTGTGCCAGGAGTTATTGTTTATGTAGCGGAGACATGCTCTCCAGCTGGCTGCAGGGGACAGAACGTGGGGGACATTATGTCCCAGCTGGTCCTGGGAGGGTCCCATGGGGAGACCCGCTGGTCATGTGCTTTGCATGTCCTGACTGTAGGCAGAGCAGACCTCCAGGGACTTCCTTCCTTTAGTGGTTTGTCTAACCAAATGAGCAATAGCAGGGTCTCGCCTTTGAAGCTCTAGCTGGAAGCATCTTTGACCCCCAGCCCACAGGGAACCATTCTTCTTGCAATGCC
Organism: Homo sapiens; assembly: GCF_000001405.40. Lineage (NCBI taxonomy): Eukaryota > Metazoa > Chordata > Mammalia > Primates > Hominidae > Homo > Homo sapiens. Next base: position 32,853,193 of record NC_000022.11, read on the forward strand.
CGTGGTTCTTCCTGCCTTAGGACTCTCATCCAGCCCTCTGCAGAGACTGGCTCCATTTCTACATTCTCTGCCTGTCCTGCTAGACAAATTGCTGTATAGAGAAAGATCATGGCCGTGATAGCTCGGTCGGTCTGTAAATAAGAATTTGTGGGTTTAAATGAGTCCGTGATGTACACCAGCATCCAGAACAGTGTTGATCTTTGGTAGGCATGCAAGACATAGTTGGAATCATTGAGGCAACTCATGCTGTCAATGTAGAGTGAAGGCCAGACATTTCATAAGAAATATGCAAATGTCCCCAGACTCAGAAACTTCTTTTTTACTTTATTTGTCCCTTCACTCCAAGGGAAGCTAACATCTTGGAACTTTGTGTAGATGCTACCAAGAAGAAGAAGAGGGGCCCAGAGGCATGCAGAACCCAGCTGAAAAAGAACAACCCACTTATGTCTGAAGTTCTAAACCAGCTTTAACTACTCTTGTTAAGAGCTGAGGAAGGGACTTAGGAGAAAGGGGACCAAACTCATTCCTCCTCTCCTTACGAATTTCAGTATAACTTGTTCTAAGCTAACTTTTATTGAATGTTGTGGGCTGACTGCTATTCTAAGTCATTTGCTTCTCTCAAACACCCTAAGAAGTGCTTTGACCCATTTTACAGATGAAGAAACTGAGACCCAAAGAGGTTAAGTAACTTTCCAAGTGGCGAACACAGGTGGCAGAGAAGATTGAAGATTCAAACTCTGGCTGTCAGCCTCCAAAACCTGAATTTACCACTGATCTCCATGGCATTGGTTTGGATTAGATTACCTTTAACATCTTTTCCAACTCTGAGATTCTAGGATTCTCTGATGTCAGGACATTATAAACCTATTATAACTCTCCTAAATTTGTCAAACCAATTCTAGATCTCTATGATTACAGACATGATACTTTTAGAATCAATATTTAAATCAAGGTAGGATTATTACACAGAAAACACAACTGAGTAGAATCTACCTTTGCCATGTTGTTCTTTTCAGAATTGACCCTAAAACACAGCGCTATGTTTGTCAGAGCCAGTCATTTGTAATGTGTCAGAATTTCGACTCTAGGCAAGTGCTAGGAGCTAAAATGCAGGTTCCTTCAAACTTCCAAGTAGCTGCGGTGCCAAGCTGATTTCGATGAGTTGAGTTCTTACTGAGCAGTTCAAATGACCAGACTGTAACCAGGGGCTTCATTCTCTCACCCACGAAGCACTAGGGCAGTCAAGGGGAAAGACTGACGCAGAAGGAATGAGGTTCCCATGGGCTGGGTCCAAAAGACCTAGAGCGAGTGCTTAGTTGAAACATTTGCCAAAACCTCAAGGAACACCCACACAAAAATAAGAAGTTGCTCGGCACAGAAGTCAGGGTAGGGGATGTTCTTCGAAGGCCACACTCCATGGCAGGCATACAGCAGCACGCTTAAACATGGTTCCTGTTAAGGCTAGAGAGGCACCATTCACATAGAAGAAGTCATCATCGTGACTCTACCCACCCCGCGCCCCCACCGCGTAATTGAATGCTGAGTGTGGACGGCACTTCTTCCAGCACTTGGCTGCGTTACCGTGCTCAGTTGGCAAGCCTTGGGGGAGAAGAGAGGTTCAGAAGGAAGACCATCTGAGTCCATCAGAACAATGTGTGCTTTTAACAAGGCAGGGGCGCCCAAACTCAGTAGGTCCAACAGACCAAGTTATGCTATGAAGGTCTTGTGGACCACCTACCCCCGCCAACCAGTCACCACTTAAAAGATGAGAAAACGCCAGCTCACAGGCCAAATGGGAGGCATTTAGAAGAGACACCAATGAAGAGATGTCTGGCTTTGTATTAATTACTGTAGGTAAATTAATACCAAATGCCAGGAAGTAAAGTAGAGGCATTTTCCTATTATAAACCCTTGGGACAAGCCCAGAGACCACCAGCAGTCCAGGGCTTGTGTACGCTGAGAACTGAGGGGATAACAGAATTGTGCAACACCTTGGTGCCCCACCGCCCCCGTTACCAAATCTCACAGTTCACAGTATCGCCTTGGCACACTGGGCTTGTGTAATACTCATGGACTTGACCTGGAATCACAAAGCGGACTCAGCTTCTGTTACATTCATTCACCCCAGTGACTCTGGGCACACACTGTGCCTCTGAAGGAGGCACAGTGGCCATAAATGGAAATAGCATTTGCCTGCTTCTGGGGACCTTGGTCATAGACTTCTGAGGCTTTCCTGGGAGCCAGTCTAAGATAATGGGTAAGAGTATGGACTCTGAAGGCAGAGTCCTCTGCTTGGAATCCTAGCCCTGCCATTTCCCAACTGTGTGGCCTTAACAAGCTACTTAGCCTGCCTGTGACTCAGGCTCCTCATCTATAAAATGGGCATAATAGTTCCTACCTCATAGGGTTGTCATGGTGATTCGTGGGCTAATATTAAAGGAGATTTCTCAACCTCAGTACCATTGACATTTGGGGCCGGATAATTCTTTGTTCTGGGGGCTGTCCTGAGTATTATGGGATGTTTAGCAACCTCCCTACCCTCTACGAACTGTTGTGACAACCAAAATTGTCTCCAGACATTGCCACATGTCCCAAATATTTCCTAGGGGGGCAAAATTGCCTCCAGTTGAGAACCACTGTATTAGATTATGTCGTAGATACAAATAGCCAAATATCAGCAATTTCACGTGGTTCAATCTAACAATTATAAAGTATTTAACAGTTAAAACTCTTTGAACTTTGTAGATACATTTATGTGCTTCATCTGGGATAAACGAACCCAATGCTTTCACCAGACGCTCAGAAGAATAAAAAACATGGAGAATTTCTAGCTTGAATTCAACGTTCACCAGCCAAATAGAATTTCTATAAAGTGGGGTTTGTAATACATCCCTCCCAGGGCTCTTTTAAGGATACTGCAAGGAGAATGTGAGTGAGAATGTTTTTGTGGGCTGGAAAGTGTCACAGAGATATCATGAGAATGCTGGCTGAGTTCACGGGACTCAGGTCCTAAGGTTGACAAAGAAAAAGGACCTTTGTCACAGCTACTTCTCTGGATTTCTGAAAAGGTGCTGGGATGTCAGACATGTGTAGCCGAAGGAGTGTTGTGGGGCAGTTGGAATGGGGGGTATGGCTGGCTGCACAGGAAGGTTTCTCTGGGAAGGCACCAACCTGGCTAGTCAAGAGGATCGGTGGCTTCATCTGGGGTGAAGGGGGCCCTGGGGTGGGTAGATCAGTGACCGGCCACTGGACAGCTGAATAGGGGAGCGAGATTCCCTCAGATCCAATGTCAGCAAGCCTTCTGGGTACTGAGACTCCTCTCCTGTGTTCCTCTTATTTTATTGATACATAATAAATGGACATATTTTGAGAGTCCATGTGGTATTTTGATATATTCAAAAATGTATAGTAATCAAATCAGGGTAATTGGGATATTCATAACCTTAAACATTTATCGTTTCTTCATGCTGGGAACATCTGAATTATCCTCTACTAGCTACTTTGAGATATACAATAAGTTATTGTTTACTGTAGTCATTCTACTGATTCAATGAACACTGGGTCTTACTTGTTCTGCGTACTCGTATTTTTGTACCCATTAATTATATCTCTTTGCCCCAATCCTTATTACCTTTCTTGCCTCTGGTAACCACCAATCCACTGTCCATCTTTATGAGATTTACTTTCTTAGCTCCCACATGAGTGAGAACATGGTGTATTTGTCTTTCTGTGCCTGGCTTATTCCGCTTAGCAAAACGACCTCCAGTTCCAGCTGCATTGCCACAAATGACAAGATTTCATTCTTTTTTCTGGATGAATCATATTCCATTGGGTATAGATACCAGGTTTTGTCTATCCATTCATCTGTTGATGGGCACTTAGGTTGATTTCATATCTTGGCTATTGTGAATATTGCTGCAGTCAACATGAGAGTGCAGACCCCTCTTCCATATTCCGATTTCCTTTCCTTTGGATACATACCCAGCAGTGGGATTAGGGATCATACGGGTGTCCAAACTGGGAAAGAAGAAGTCATGATGTTCCTTTTGCCCACAGATGTACCGAGGCTTCACCAAGATGCCCCATGTGCAGTACATCCATACGGAAGCTTCCGAGAGTCTCTGTGGCCTTAAGCTGGAGGTCAACAAGTACCAGTACCTGCTGACAGGTAATGGCCAACTCTAGCTTCTAGGCCAGGGTTTGGCCAAGGTCCACTGTTTCTTGACTTCAGAAGAACACATACGGAGTAGTTGACTCACCAAATGTCCAGTAAATTGTAAGGAGTCTCTAATGTTGAATTCATCCCACTTACCCAGTGCTAGGAGCTTGAGGCTCCTACACTTAGGCTGGACTTTGGAATTAGCTCCACCACTCACCTGGGGGAGGAAATCTCCTAATTTGTAGCTTCTCAACTTTACTGTAAATAAAAAGGGAGTATCTGTTCCTCTCCACCTCACACTCGACCTGTTAGGCCCGTCTTTGAAAGTTATTCATCTTTAGGCAGTCAGTGTAGTAAAGGAGAAAACAAAAACAAAAATCATTATAAAGGGAGTGAAGAGTTGGCCTCTAGTCCTAGCTCCAGTATTTAATGGGCTTGGGACCTTTGGCAAATCACTTTACCTCTCCAAGCCTCATTATCCTCATCTGGAAAATGGGGCTACAGTCCATTTTAAAAGGTGTTGGGTAGGGTGAAATAAAATCATGGGTCTGAAAAGTACCCAGCCACAGTGCCTGGGCTAAGTGGGAACATAGTAGGTGTGAATTCTCTCTGGGCTAGGCTCTGGACAAAACAACCTCTCCTTGTTTTCTTCTTTCCTCCTGTAGGTCGCGTCTATGATGGCAAGATGTACACGGGGCTGTGCAACTTCGTGGAGAGGTGGGACCAGCTCACCCTCTCCCAGCGCAAGGGGCTGAACTATCGGTATCACCTGGGTTGTAACTGCAAGGTAAGCTCTGGGGTCACTGGGGGAAGGAGGGGAGGTGCTGACTTGCAGCCCTAGAAACATCAGCTCCCAATGCACTGGGTGCCAGGCCCTCGGCTGGGAAGGGTATGCATGTGTTAGGCCAGGGCAGAGGGGCAGGTCTGAGCAGATATAGTAAGGATTGTTGCCCCAGGTGGGGCAGTGAGGAAGGCAGGGAAGGAAGAATGCCTTTCTGCTGTAATCGGCTGCCTCCATGATGACCACTTGGAAGCTGCTGGGGCATGAGGGCTCTTGAGTCCCTGGCCCCACCTGGCAGTTCAAGGCTGGAGGTATAGGATCCTGACACTGGCAGGTTCTCCCAAGTGGTTTCAAGTGGGCTCACCCTGGTAGCTGACTCATCGCTAACCCCACCCCAGGTAGGCAAATGGGCCCAGGACTGCAGAGACCAGATGCTACAGAAGGTCTCTCTTTACCAGGCCCATCCCCCTGACCCAAGTATAGGGCCAAGGTGCAGCCTGCCTGCTGTGGGAGGAAGTTGGGCCATTCTCTCACTTCATCTTCAAAACAGTCCTGTGTGGTTTTAATTACTATGATCTCCATTCTGCAGATGAGAGCTCAGAGAACTTAAGTAACTAGCCCTAGGTCCCACAGTTCACTGAATCTGGTTTCCAACCTAGGGCAGCTAGACTCCAAAGTTTATGCTCTAACCTTTCTAATTCCTCGATTCCCTAAAACAACTGAGATCTCCCACCTGAGACGAAAAAGTCCTCTCAGTAGTCTAATTCTGCTACTTACTGGCTGTGTGACCTGCAGCAAGTTACTTAACCTCTCAGAGCCTCCTAAAACTGTGATAAGAATTAAAGAGAATAATATCAAAGCACTTATCAGAATGTCTGTTAGACAGCAGATGCTCAAGCTAGTGCTATTTATATTATGATCACTGAGGGACTGATGTGGCTAGGCTTCCCATGCAGTGGCCCCAGGGTCTGAATCCAGGCTCGGTAGCCTCAGGCCTGGGCATACCATGGCAGAGTCCATCAACTGCTGCCTGTTATCTAATTGCAGATCAAGTCCTGCTACTACCTGCCTTGCTTTGTGACTTCCAAGAACGAGTGTCTCTGGACCGACATGCTCTCCAATTTCGGTTACCCTGGCTACCAGTCCAAACACTACGCCTGCATCCGGCAGAAGGGCGGCTACTGCAGCTGGTACCGAGGATGGGCCCCCCCGGATAAAAGCATCATCAATGCCACAGACCCCTGAGCGCCAGACCCTGCCCCACCTCACTTCCCTCCCTTCCCGCTGAGCTTCCCTTGGACACTAACTCTTCCCAGATGATGACAATGAAATTAGTGCCTGTTTTCTTGCAAATTTAGCACTTGGAACATTTAAAGAAAGGTCTATGCTGTCATATGGGGTTTATTGGGAACTATCCTCCTGGCCCCACCCTGCCCCTTCTTTTTGGTTTTGACATCATTCATTTCCACCTGGGAATTTCTGGTGCCATGCCAGAAAGAATGAGGAACCTGTATTCCTCTTCTTCGTGATAATATAATCTCTATTTTTTTAGGAAAACAAAAATGAAAAACTACTCCATTTGAGGATTGTAATTCCCACCCCTCTTGCTTCTTCCCCACCTCACCATCTCCCAGACCCTCTTCCCTTTGCCCTTCTCCTCCAATACATAAAGGACACAGACAAGGAACTTGCTGAAAGGCCAACCATTTCAGGATCAGTCAAAGGCAGCAAGCAGATAGACTCAAGGTGTGTGAAAGATGTTATACACCAGGAGCTGCCACTGCATGTCCCAACCAGACTGTGTCTGTCTGTGTCTGCATGTAAGAGTGAGGGAGGGAAGGAAGGAACTACAAGAGAGTCGGAGATGATGCAGCACACACACAATTCCCCAGCCCAGTGATGCTTGTGTTGACCAGATGTTCCTGAGTCTGGAGCAAGCACCCAGGCCAGAATAACAGAGCTTTCTTAGTTGGTGAAGACTTAAACATCTGCCTGAGGTCAGGAGGCAATTTGCCTGCCTTGTACAAAAGCTCAGGTGAAAGACTGAGATGAATGTCTTTCCTCTCCCTGCCTCCCACCAGACTTCCTCCTGGAAAACGCTTTGGTAGATTTGGCCAGGAGCTTTCTTTTATGTAAATTGGATAAATACACACACCATACACTATCCACAGATATAGCCAAGTAGATTTGGGTAGAGGATACTATTTCCAGAATAGTGTTTAGCTCACCTAGGGGGATATGTTTGTATACACATTTGCATATACCCACATGGGGACATAAGCTAATTTTTTTACAGGACACAGAATTCTGTTCAATGCTGTTAAATATGCCAATAGTTTAATCTCTTCTATTTTGTTGTCGTTGCTTGTTTGAAGAAAATCATGACATTCCAAGTTGACATTTTTTTTTCATTTTAATTAAAATTTGAAATTCTGAACACCGTCAGCACCCTCTCTTCCCTATCATGGGTCATCTGACCCCTGTCCGTCTCCTTGTCCCTGCTTCATGTTTGGGGGCCTTTCTTTAACTGCCTTCCTGGCTTAGCTCAGATGGCAGATGAGAGTGTAGTCAAGGGCCTGGGCACAGGAGGGAGAGCTGCAGAGTGTCCTGCCTGCCTTGGCTGGAGGGACACCTCTCCTGGGTGTGGAGACAGCTTGGTTCCCTTTCCCTAGCTCCCTGGTGGGTGAATGCCACCTCCTGAGATCCTCACCTCTTGGAATTAAAATTGTTGGTCACTGGGGAAAGCCTGAGTTTGCAACCAGTTGTAGGGTTTCTGTTGTGTTTTTTTTTTTTTTTTTGAAATAAAACTATAATATAAATTCTCCTATTAAATAAAATTATTTTAAGTTTTAGTGTCAAAAGTGAGATGCTGAGAGTAGGTGATAATGTATATTTTACAGAGTGGGGGTTGGCAGGATGGTGACATTGAACATGATTGCTCTCTGTCTCTTTTTTCAGCTTATGGGTATTTATCTTCTATTAGTATTTGTATCTTCAGTTCATTCCACTTTAGGAAACAGAGCTGCCAATTGAAACAGAAGAAGAAAAAAAAAAAAAGCAGCAGACAACACACTGTAGAGTCTTGCACACACACAAGTGCCCAGGCAAGGTGCTTGGCAGAACCGCAGAGTGGGAAGAGAGTACCGGCATCGGGTTTCCTTGGGATCAATTTCATTACCGTGTACCTTTCCCATTGTGGTCATGCCATTTGGCAGGGGGAGAATGGGAGGCTTGGCCTTCTTTGTGAGGCAGTGTGAGCAGAAGCTGATGCCAGCATGTCACTGGTTTTGAAGGGATGAGCCCAGACTTGATGTTTTGGGATTGTCCTTATTTTAACCTCAAGGTCTCGCATGGTGGGGCCCCTGACCAACCTACACAAGTTCCCTCCCACAAGTGGACATCAGTGTCTTCTCTGTGAGGCATCTGGCCATTCGCACTCCCTGGTGTGGTCAGCCTCTCTCACACAAGGAGGAACTTGGGTGAAGGCTGAGTGTGAGGCACCTGAAGTTTCCCTGCGGAGTCGATAAATTAGCAGAACCACATCCCCATCTGTTAGGCCTTGGTGAGGAGGCCCTGGGCAAAGAAGGGTCTTTCGCAAAGCGATGTCAGAGGGCGGTTTTGAGCTTTCTATAAGCTATAGCTTTGTTTATTTCACCCGTTCACTTACTGTATAATTTAAAATCATTTATGTAGCTGAGACACTTCTGTATTTCAATCATATCATGAACATTTTATTTTGCTAAATCTTGTGTCATGTGTAGGCTGTAATATGTGTACATTGTGTTTAAGAGAAAAATGAAACCCACATGCCGCCATTTTCCTGAATCAAATTCTGCAGTGGAATGGAGAGGAAAATACTTCTAGGCAAGCAGCTAGACTGGTGAATTGGGGGAAATAGAAGGAACTAGTAACTGAGACTCCTCCAGCCTCCTCCCTATTGGAATCCCAATGGCTCCTGGAGTAGGAAAAAAGTTTAAACTACATTCATGTTCTTGTTCTGTGTCACTCGGCCCTGGGTAGTCTACCATTTACTTCACCCCAAGTCCTGCTGCCCATCCAGTTGGGAAGCCATGATTTTCCTAAGAATCCAGGGCCATGGGAGATACAATTCCAAGTTCTCGCTTCCTCCTTTGGGCATCTCTTCTGCCTCCCAATCAAGGAAGCTCCATGCTCAGGCTCTCAGCTCTCGGGCCAGTGCTCTGCTCTGTCCAGGGTAGGTAATACTGGGAGACTCCTGTCTTTTACCCTCCCCTCGTTCCAGACCTGCCTCATGGTGGCAACATGGTTCTTGAACAATTAAAGAAACAAATGACTTTTTGGAATAGCCCTGTCTAGGGCAAACTGTGGCCCCCAGGAGACACTACCCTTCCATGCCCCAGACCTCTGTCTTGCATGTGACAATTGACAATCTGGACTACCCCAAGATGGCACCCAAGTGTTTGGCTTCTGGCTACCTAAGGTTAACATGTCACTAGAGTATTTTTATGAGAGACAAACATTATAAAAATCTGATGGCAAAAGCAAAACAAAATGGAAAGTAGGGGAGGTGGATGTGACAACAACTTCCAAATTGGCTCTTTGGAGGCGAGAGGAAGGGGAGAACTTGGAGAATAGTTTTTGCTTTGGGGGTAGAGGCTTCTTAGATTCTCCCAGCATCCGCCTTTCCCTTTAGCCAGTCTGCTGTCCTGAAACCCAGAAGTGATGGAGAGAAACCAACAAGAGATCTCGAACCCTGTCTAGAAGGAATGTATTTGTTGCTAAATTTCGTAGCACTGTTTACAGTTTTCCTCCATGTTATTTATGAATTTTATATTCCGTGAATGTATATTGTCTTGTAATGTTGCATAATGTTCACTTTTTATAGTGTGTCCTTTATTCTAAACAGTAAAGTGGTTTTATTTCTATCACACATCTGCTGTCTCTTGCCTTGTTGTGTTCTGACGCCACGGGGAGTTATGTATACACCAGCAGGCCTTGAAAGTCTATCCCCAGCTCCAGGCCTGGACACATCCCTCCCTCCATGCACCGCTATGGCCTGGCCCCACCCTGCTCCAGTCCTTTTCCCTTGCAGAAGGAATCTTAGGAGAGGTGCCCTGCCTTGACTTTGCTCCCTGATTCTATTGCTAGAGTCCTCCCTAGTTCTGCTGAATCTGGATGTATTAATATATCTGTACCTAATCACCTATTGGTGGTACAAGTACCCCCAGACTGGAGTCCTTACTCAGCCCTCCTTGTTTTCTTCCTAAGAATCCCAACCTGGTGGAGGTGGGGAGGGGCGGCCTGCAAACAGCAGTCCTTGATGTCAACTGCCTGCTTGAAATTCCAAGTATGGCTTGGCCTAGTTGGGAACACCAGGAACTCATGAGGTCTCACGACAGCTGGTGACCTTTTCCCAGAGCTTATAACAACCTCCTTTCAGAGTATACAGCAGGGCCTCTCACTGTCAATGGGCTGGGCTGGCTGCAGACCCCTCGCCTGACTTTCATCCCACCATTGACAACGTTCTAGGTTTTCACCCTTGTTTTAAAGCTACTCCTACTATATGCCAGGTACAGCACTTTATATACAGGATCTCATGAAATCCTGACTACTCGATGAGGTTGCTCCACAATCATCCACGGTTTTTACCTGAAGAAGTTGGGGCTCACAGAGATAAAGTCATTTTCCTGAGACCTAGTGTGTAGACAGAACTGGCATTCAAATTCAGGCTAGTTTGATAATGAACTCTGAATTTTCCCCACTGTAAGGATGCATACAGTAAGAAAAATCCAGGGTTTGGGGATATGCTGGGTTTCACATGTGCCCTTCTTATCTCAACCAGCATGTTCTGGATTCTGTGACTCTTGCCCGATCAGATACAGGGGAAAGATCATCAATAGAAATTCTGCTTGGTTAGAGTGATTACTCCTGAAATCTGCAGTCCTACCCATCAGTATCTCCAAACAGGACTGTCTAGCCCAGAAGCCTGAGCTTGGACTCTACAAACAGCCACAGTAAGTCCCCACCTGGGACTATGGTATACTCTATTCATTATTCTGTTCCCAAAGACGCATTCCCTGCAAGGCCAAGCGCAGGGTCACAGCCTTGAATTCCTTTGACCAGTTTACGAAGACCATCAACTATGCAAGCAGGCATGTTGCAGGCTCTTTCCTGCTGCTTAGAGCTCCTCCCCCCAACACTTTCTGGCTTCAGGTGGAGAACCCTTCACCTCATTCAGAAAGACATTCACCTCTTCCACCCAGGTATCCTCCAAATGGGAGGCTGTACCACATATCCTGAGCTAAGCCCTGCTTCCCAGAGGAGATCTCAGGTGCATTCAGAAATTGGAAAGTGAAGAGGACATGTAAGGAAACTGCCCTTCAACAACCAATGCAAATCAAATATTAATATTACTGCTTTTTATTAAAATATGAGTTGAAATCAGGTTCCACAAAAGGCTCAAGTAAAACAACATCCCACCTTGAAAACATCTTTTACCTTTATAATCAGCCTCTGGTTCTAACATGCCCCCAGAACGTGTCCCCTGATTTGCTGAAAATCTCCAAGTTCCAAGGAATGTGGTTCACCTTTGTTATTTGCCCTATTGCCTGAATTTCACCTGGAGAGACGACTTCCCTTAGGAAATCCAGGCACTCCCACAGGACACTGTGACTCCGCCTTAGAGTCTGCGTGGTCAGTGTACAACCCCTAGAGTCCACCTCCTCCATCCAAAGAGACCGAGGACAAGTCATCTGTATTCATTCCGCATCATGCAAAGAAACAGAGTAAAAAAGGGCACTCACCATTGGCTTATGGTTGGGGAAAAATGTTTGCTCCACAAGCGGGAACTTCTCAGGACCCAGGGAATGGAAGATCTTAATGAGCTGAGAGAACTAGGATAGAAGAGGAGAGAACATTGATCAACTATTGTCACCCAGTATAACAAAACCTCCCACTTGATCTGAGGCCTCAAGCATCTGACTGTTCTGAGCCGAGCTTCAGTAGGTGCTATCCTACCCTGCCTATAGGATAAAGACCAGATTCCTTGGCTGGACATTCATCCTCTCCATCATCTAGCCATATTAACCCCTCCATTTCTGCCCAAGACCTAGTAAGTAGGCAGAACACTGGGTTCAGCCCAACCATATTTAATGAGCACTTACTATAGCCTCAGCATTTCACACCATGTCCTTCTCCACCTGCTGATGTTCATGCCCTGCTCCTTGCCTGCCATACCTTCTTTCTAGAGAGGCAGCGCTGCATGGTAATTGATGGTGTTAGATGTGGATCCAGCCTTCCTGGGTTCAAATTCTTGCTTTGCCACTTACTAGCTGTATAACCTGGGAAGTCAATTCAGGTTTCTGAGCTTTCGTTTCTTCACTCGTAAACTGGAGATCCAACCTCATGGGATTGTTGTAAGGATACAGTGTGTCAGAGGCAGTGCTTTGTCCACAGCAGTGCTAAAATGCTAGGTGTTATATTAATAAATATTTTCTCTGCTGTTGCAACCCCTCTCATTTCCAACAGCTCAAGCCACATCCCTTCCCACTGCTCTCCTCCTGCTTCAACACTTGCTTGTTTTGCCAGATACTAGCTACTGTCTCCGGAGCTCAAAGGTGAGCTCTGTCGCTATGCTTTATTATTGGAGCAACAAGCTGAATATGGGGGCAAGGCCTGAAGGAAGACAGGCTGCAGGTGCATGGCTGTGACACTAATATCTTGCTGGAGGGAAGCATAGGGGGTGAAGGGACCTGGAAGGGGGACAGAGTAGGGAGTCAGGATGATCCCCTGGAGCAGACGACATAAGAGAAGGAGAAAGGGCCCTCCGGGTGTGCATTGAGACTAATGTATGCTGGAGACCCTCTGCAGCTGCCATGCTGTGGCGTCAGTTGCAGGTGATGATGAGAGACGAGGTGGAAGCATGATCCATCACAGACCACCAGCCTTAAAGGCCTGACCAGAAAGCTTAGAATTCACCCAGAAGGTGAAGGAGAGCTGCTGGTGGATATAAGCAGAGAAGAGCAAATCAGATTCCGAACAAGATAAAGGAATCAACTGGAATTTGTGGTCCCATGTGGATGCCCAGTGGTTAAAGGAGTGGCCAACCTGACTTGGAGGTCACTCAATACTAAGAGCCTGGACACTGAAAACAGAGTAACTAGGAACTTTCTGCATCCACCCAAGATTGGTCTGCAAACTCTTGGGGTATAGCCTTCAGATGCAGCACAACAGGGAGTCAACTTCGAGGGTTTAAGAGAACTCAGAAATATGGAAAACGATGTATGTGTGTGTGGGGTCCCTCATTTTGCAGACAAGGAAATTGGAGTCCAGAAAGGGAGAGTGATTCCGCAGGTAAGCACATGAGTTTTGAAGAGGCCTAGCTCTACCACTTTCTACTAGCTATGTGAGCCTCAGTTTCCTCATCTGTAAGATGGAGATATTAGCAACTCCTACTCATAAGGGTGCTAAGAATTAAACACAATATGCACGTTAAGGGCTCAGGATAGCACACGGCTAGTGCTGATGAGTTGTGGTTGCTACTATCGTGATAACTGTGATAAAAGGTGGGGAAGGGCTAACACCATCTAGGACCCTTTCCTAACAGTGGCACTCGAAAATCTTGGATGCCATTGGCCAAAAAGCCCAGTTAGGGCAGAATGAGAAGGAGACCAGGGCCATGACAATAGTGGTAAATTCTATCCATACCTATTAAATTAATGCATGTAGCCATTCAGTAAGTACTGAGTGTTCCAACTCTACATGGAACTTGTTCCAGGTATCTAAGGCAGTGAAAATTTTTACCACTTATTGAGTGTGTACTTTGTGCCAGCCACATTCTAAGCGTTTTCATCTATTAAATCATAACCCTACCAGGAAGGCGCTATTACTACCACCACTTTCCAAATAAGGAAGCTAAGTTCAGAGAGGTTAATGGGGTTGCTGCTCGAGTAACACAGCTCATAAGTGGAGAAGCCTGGACCTAGGAATCTGGCTTCAGAGCTCACACTCTCAACTACCACCCTACACCACCAGGTGATCACACAGAGAGATAGCAAAACACCACAGACCAGACAGCTATGAGCTTCATAGAGCACTTTCTACATACCCCAAGCCTCCACATTACCTATCCTCTTTCTGTCCTTGATCTTCCCCCTTGCCACTGATCATAGGACATATTGCATATTTGGCATAAGTATTAAAGCACCGCACATGCCCCTGCTCACTAGAATGTAAGATCCACAGGGCAGGGATTTTGGTCTGATTTGTTCACTGCTATGTTTCTAGGACTTACAACAGCACCTGGAACACAGTAAGTGCCCAAGAAGTATTTGCTACATGAACGAATAACTTCTAATCAGGGAGACAGATAATGCACAAATGAATGGATAAATTTATCATTCTAGGTGGAGATAAGTATCTAGGAAAAAAATAAAGCAGGGTAAGGGATTTGAGAGTACTTGAGCGAGTGGAGGAGTGGTATTTTTTCTTTGAGATGGAGTCTTGCTCTGTCACCAGGCTGGAGCGCAGTGGCGCAATCTCAGCTCTCTGCAACCTCCACCTCCTGGGTTCAAGCAATTCTCCTGCCTCAGACTCCCGAGTAGCTGGGACTACAGGTGCACGCCACCACGCCCAGCTAATTCTTGTGTTTTTAGTAGAGACGGGGTTTCACCATGTTGGCCAGCATGGTCTCGATCTCTTGATCTCGTGATACACCCGCCTCGGCCTCCCAAAGTGCTGGGATTACAGGCGTGAGCCACCGTGTCTGGCGAGGAGTGGTATTTTAAGAAGTCTTTCTTACAGGTAACATTTGGATGGAAACTCAAATAAATCAAATGAATGACTGAAACTAAGGAATAAAAGAAGAGAAATTAAATGTTGGGTGTTGGAGAGAGAGATGGCTTAAATTGTGGCCTCACCACTCACTGAGCAAGTTCCTTAAGTGGCCTGAAGCTGAGCTTCCATCTCTGTAAAATGAAGGGTTGACACTCACTTCACACGAGAGCGACAGTTTGAGTGCCAGGTAGCATAGTTTTCTGGGACATAGTAAGTGCTCAATAAATGGAGTCTGCTGTTAACAATAATGATAGAATGTTCATAAAACAATATGGTGCATCTTTATGACTAATATTATAACATAACACCATATCATAATGTTATATAATAACATGTTTTGTTATTATATATTATTAATAGCATATATTGTCACTGTATTATATATTATATATTACAAAGATCAATTATTACATATATGTAATATCATATATCATATATTACATGTAACATGTATAATATATAACATGTATATATTAACGTATATGCATTTATTTATTACAAAACTTTTTTTCGAGACAGAGTTTCGCTGTTGTTGCCCAGGCTGGAGTGCAACGGCACGATCTCGGCTCACCACAACCTCCGCCTCCCGGGTTCAAGCGATTCTCCTGCCTCAGCCTCCCGAGTAGCTGGGATTACAGCGGGATTACAGACATGCGCCACCATGCCTGGCTAATTTTGTATTTTTAGTAGAGATGGGGTTTCTCCATGTCGGTCAGGCTGGTCTCGAACTACCAACTTCAGGTGATCCGCCTGTCTTGGCCTCCCAAAGTGCTGGGATTACAGGCATAAGCCACCGTGCCCGGCCTATAAATATTTACCATAATAATATATAAAATATAAAATTAATATAATTGTTAGGCAACAATTCCAACAAGAGCCCTAGGATCCAAGTTCAGTTCAGTTGCTTAAATAAGAATTTTTACTACTGAGGCCTCCATGCTGGGGAGTGGGCTTGTCGCAGAGTGGGAGGCCACCCACTGCCTCCCAGATCCCTCCAGGTCAGCCTGCCCTGTCACCTACCACCCAGGGCTTGCTGCAGAAGTTGTAGACGGAGTAGAGAGAGTTGACAGCAGGCAGCCCTCCATACTGCAGGCCGATGACCAGGCTGCGGTAGTCTTCCCCCAGGGCCATGCTGTAGGCATGCTGGCGGACCAGGATGAAGTCTGGCTTGAAGGATCTGCTGAGAAAGCCAACAGCAGTGTTACCACACTGGGACATTGATGAAACACCAGGGCATCCGGCCACAGCTTGCTGGGGATGATAGCACTGACTTGCAGGGCGGCAGCTTAGTTCAGAAGTGGGAGCAGGTGGGGGATGAGGGCAGTTAAATGCAAAGGCACAGCTACTCCACTATAAAGTCAAAGGGCTGGAAACACTATATATATTCTCTCTCTCTCTCTCTCTCTCTCTCTCTCTCTCTCTCACAGGCTCTTTCCTAAATTCCCTGCATTGAACATCTATTTCATTTGCAACCAGAAAAAAATATATCAAAGTGAATCAACCGAGATTCTGCAAGGTACCACGCACTCTACTGAATGTATGTATTATCCATGGTGAGGACAACTGCCCTAGGAGGTGAGGGTTGTCATCAACTCCCATTTCACAAACGAGCACCCTGAGGCTCAGGAAGACTAAGTCACTTGTTCAAAAAGATACGCTGCAGAGAGGCAGCAGGGCCAGGTCTGTGTAGCCTCATGGCTCCGGCTCTTGTTCCTGCAGATCTCAAATCAACCAACACATCTTGGTTTTTTTTTTTTTTTTTTTTTTCAAGTAGCAACCTCTGGAAAGCAGCAAGAGTAGGGATTTGATGGCCGAGCCCATGCCAGGCTATTTGCTAGGTCCCTCTAGAGACAGGATCCTGATGAGTGCTCACAAACAGACCTGGGTAAAGATCTGGACCATCTCCCCATTTTATAGATGGGAACACTGCAGCCCAGGGAAATTATGAACTTTCCGAATCACAAAGCTCAGAAGCAGGAGAGCCGCATTGGAACTCAGGTCATCTGGCTCCAAGTCCACATGCTTTTGACTCCATCACAGGGCCCCAGGAGGATTCACACATTGTTTGATTCATACCACCAAAGATCAAACTATTTTTGGATTCCTTATTTTTAAGTAACACAAAAAAATCAGCCCAGGCTGGGGCAATAGGGAGCACTTATAACCATTTGCTACTTTTATCTGATTTTAAAAGTAATACACATTCTTTGTGTATAAAAAAACAAAAATTCCTTGGCATGTACAAAGAAGTAAACAAAATGCTCATAATTTTACAATGCAGAGGAAACTCCTAACAACCTTTGTATATACATTTTTGATCCAATGATCAATTTCAATGTATATAATATGCATTCACATTCATAATTGCTCCATACTTTCTTTTGATTTTAATGTTTTCCACATAATAATATAGTGTATATATTTTTCTCTACTACCAAAAATATCTTCTAAAATATAATTTTTAATTTCTACACAATAGTTCACTGAATGATATATCATAATTAAGTAAACCAATCATCTACTATTATCATATAAGCTATTTCCAATATTTCATATACAAATCAGTGCCATTATTTTAAATTATTTTCATAAGATAGATCCTAAGAAGTGGGACTAATGGATTAAAGGGTGTAAGCTTTTTGTAAGATACCCAAAAAAAGTTCCCTTTTTAAGGTACATCTCACAAATTGTTTATGAGAATGTCCATCTCATTACAGCCTCACCAGCACTGCAGTTTTTGAAAAATATTTTTTTCAATTTGACAACAGAATTCCCCCCAAAAGACACCCTGTATCCTGCTATTGTTTTAGTTTGCATTTGTCTGATTCTAGTGAAATTAAATGCTTTTTATTAACCATCTGCATTTTCTTTCCTGTAAAAGTCTGTTCACATCCTTTTCCATTCAAAACAAAATAGGGTCTCCAGTTTCCTATTGAGGTGAGTTCTGTGTATTAAGGATACTGCCCTTTATCCATCATGTGTGGCAATGTTTTTACTAGATGCTTGCTTGTCTGTTTCTTTTTAATGGATGTGCATCTTAAAAAACAACACATAAATACATTGTCCATGGCCCTGGTTCTGACAATGAGACATCCACTCCTCCCTGGCAGCGTGGGTTCCATCACAGACAACAGTGGCAGCAAACGTGGTGTCTTACTAAGAATAACCCCATCCTTCTTCATGAGGAAATAATAAAAGGTCTCCTGCTGGCCAGCCTCCTATTTTTTTTCCCCATTGCTGGGAATTCATAAGAGGGACATGGGAAAAACAAAAAACACCAAACCTGGCTATCTAAAAAAAGAGGATGCCCTTCCAAGACCACCTTCCAAGAGGAGAATCCCATGGCTTGTTTTGGGATCCCCGACTCTGGCTCCAGATATTATGGTGCTCTCTCTCCAGGGCTTCCAAAACTCACCTCTAAATCAGAACCTTTCTGATTCCTCAAAATAAAAGTAGCAGGAAGCTCCTCATTGTCTTTACGGATTTGGAAATCTACCTCAAGATCCCACATGTGAAGTGCTCTTACAAAATTATACATCACTCCCCTGCTTCAAACCCTCAAAAGGCGTCTCTCTTTCTGACAAGAGATCCCTAGTGCCTTATCGTGGCTACAAGGTCCCAAATGGGTTGCCTGCCACTCCATCCTCATTTATTTTATTTTTTTAAATTATTATTTTTTTAGAGACAGGGTCTCCCTCTGTTGCTCAGGCTGGAGTGCAGTGGTGTCATCACACTCACTGCACCCTCAAACTCCTGGGCTCAAGCGATCCTCCCACATCAGCCTCCCAAGTAGCTGGGACTACAGGTGCGCACCACCACATCCAGCTAATTTTTAAATTTATTTTATTATTATTTTTTATTTTTTGTAGAGATGAGATTTTGCTGTTACCCAGGTTGGTCTTGAACCTCTGAACTTAAGTGATCCTCCTGCCTCAGGTTCCCAAAGTGTTGGAATTACAGGCATGAACCACCCTACCCAGCCTTCCATCCTCATTTTCTATCTTTCTCGCCTCCCTCACTGCCACACAAGCCACACTGACCACCTTCTCTTCCTTCAATTCCCTAGATGCTCTTCTCCCACATTGCGTGTAGGTGCCTCGTCCTCAAAGCCACCATTCTGTCTACTCTATCAAAATTTGCCCCAACCCTCGTTTTGCCCTATTTTCTTTATTCATGGCTCTGTGACAATTTTATTTCTCCTGTTTGTTTGATTAGCTGCTTAACTGTCTAGTTCTCTTTTCTAAAGATGTCAGCTCAATGGGAACAGAGGACTTGACTGTCTTGGACAAAATAGGCCTCAAAACTGTTTTTAAATAAATGATTGCATGAATGAATGCATATATGAACACATGAATAAATGAATGAACATGATGTGAAATGGCCACTGGAAAGGGGAGGGATCACTTTCCCTGCGATCCTAGAGAAGAAAACTAGACTGATAGACATAGTAGCCAGGAGACAGCAAGTAGCCCCTTATTACCAAGGGGTTGCCTTACAAGCTAACAAGTAACACCACGAAGAAATTCATAACCCCAGGGAATTCAAGGTGGCCACCATGACCTCTTAAGAGTCTCAGATCTAATATGTGAAAAATAAGCACTTCCTATGCACAATATATCAGGCCAAACCAGGCATGTGTTATAGAGTGAATTCTGCCATTCACTGCTACAGAAGGCATAGAGTCCTTCTTGAAAGTCTAGGGTATGATGGATATGCAATGACTATAGAGAAATTACTGACTTAAGCTGGGCAACCTGTGGCATTCAGTTCCTCCCTCTGTACCCAGCACCCCAGGTTCTCCATCTGGCCAGGGGGTGGCCAAGTCCTGCAGTCACCCCAACATTTAAGGTTGTGACCTCCAGTAGTTACCGAGCCTCGACAGTGGGCCAAGCACTCTGGCAAAGGTTGGAGATCCCAAGATGACAGGGATGATTCCTGCTTTTAAGAAACTCACAACCCAAGAGGAGTTGGGTGCAACGTGCCCTAAGCACTTTTTTTTTTTTTTTTTTTTTGAGAGACAGAGTCTGGCTCTATTGTCCATATTGTCCAGGCTGGTGTGCAATGGTGTGATCTTGGCTCACTGCAATCTCCACCTCCCAGGTTCAGGCAGTTCTCCTGTCTCAGCCTCCCAAGTAGCTGGGATTACAGGCACGTGCCCCTGCACCCGGCTAATTTTTGTATTTTTAGTAGAGGCAAGGTTTTGCCATTTTGGACAGGCTAGTTTCAAACTCCTGACCTCAGGTGATCTGCCCACCTTGGCCTCCCAAAGTGCCGGGATTACAGACGTGAGCCACCGTGCCCGGCCAGCATTTGTTAAATTAACAAAGGAGGGAGTGAGTGGGTGAGTGAGTGAGTGAAATAATTGAGGCATGTACAAGGGCATAAGGTGGTCCAAAGGATGGATTCAACTCTGTTAAGGGATGAGTGTGAGCAAGTGTGTGCTGGAAGCCTTGGTCTTAAAAGCTGAGGTTGTCAAGTGGGTTGGGTTTGGAGAGTATTCCAGGCAGGGGGAAGGCACCTGCGACTGAATGAATGTGCCCTCGTTGTTGGGGGTGTAGTGGACTGTGCTGGTTTTATCTGCTCTGTACCCAGAACTCCTCCTTTTTCTAGAAACAGAGCCCATGCGGAAATCCTCTCTGATCAGAGAACCACATTTTCCTGGGCTGTAACTGGTCTAAGGACGGAACACCTGATGTAAAATGGGCCTGTGAGAAAATTCTCGGGTGTGTTGTATCTGAGCTCTGAAAGACAGGAGTGGCCAGCTACACTGAAGTAATATAAGCTGGGCTGATGGGAGACCATTTTCCTGTTACATGAAGAAATCCCATTTGTAGCAGAAGTACCAGCTGGGAAAAGAGATAAGGAGGGAGGCAAGACACCTGTCAACATTAGATGAGTCGGCCAAATGCAGTGGCTCATGCTTGTAATCCCAGCATTTTGGGAGGCCAAGGTGGGCGGATCACTTAAGGCCAGGAGTTCAAGACCAGCCTGGCCAACGTGGCAAAACCCCATCTCTACAAAAAATACAAAAAAAAAAAATTAGCTGGGCATAGTGGCACACACCTGTAATCCCAGCTACTTGGAAGGCTAGGGCACAAGAATTGCTTGAACCAGGGAGGCAGAGGTTGCAGTGAGCCGAGATCGTGTCACTGCCCTACTGCCTGGATGACAGAACAAGAATCTGTCTCAAAAAAGAAAAAGAAAGTAAAAAGAAAAATCCCCCAACCTTTTAAGCCCCTTCCTTCTCTTCCTGCCGTAGAGCCCCACTGAGCCCAAGACCTGGGTCTCTCGTGCCTGGGTAAGGTCTCCTTTAATCTCACACAAACTGGCACGTCCTGGCCGCAGGTTGTAGCTGGGTTTTCTTGTTATTTCACCTTTAACCGTAATATGAGCTATAATATTTGGGCTCCTGATCCCAAGTCTTTCTCAGAAGTGGCTGTTGGCACTTGAGAGGAAATCAAGGACAAGAAATAATTAACGGTAAAGATGGGACAGGTGACGTGTCACAGGGGGATTACTGAATGCTTCTGGCAGCGTCAAAAAGCTGGAGGCCAGAGGTGAAGTGACTCTTAACCATTGGAGAAGTGTAATAATTCTCTCAAATATGCAGAGGTCTGTGGTGGCAAGAACAGCTCTTGGCTGGACTTTGCCTGGGACCTAAGTTAATCAGCAGAAGCCTCATTATTCTCAGTCACTTGACCACTATTTCATAACTGTCCCCTGGTCCCCAAGAGCCAGGTTGGCAAAGGGTGATGTTCATGCTGATTTTGTTCACATGCTGAGACCCATCACACCCAGAGCTGATTCCAGCCAGGCCTGCGAAGGCTCCAGACTTTCTGACGTCCATGTCAACGGGCAAAGAGACTTCACGTTTTCTCTTAATTGTCTCCACACTCTTCATAACACTCCACCTTGGAAAATTCAACCTTGGGTATCAAATCTGGGGGAAGGGGACAAAGGGAACCGAGTAAACCAGCAAATGGGGAGGGGGAATTCAAAACATTGAAACAAGCTCCATGCTCCTGCAGACTTAGGGTACCACTATTCTGCAAGGATAAAGCCAAGGAAATGTGCACGCTTTGCAGATGGAGGGGTTTGAATCGCCCATATGGAAGGACTTTGGGAATTAGTGATGCTTCCCGCCAGCCCGAGGACTGCAAGAAATTAGCCCAGGCCAAAAAGAAATTAGGTGGCAGCCAACCAAGAATCTGGTGAGGAGCAGACAACAGGATGCAGGAGGGAGGCCTGTGGGGCCCCCATGGCAGCTGCCAGATGCACACCGGTGGAGAAGGGGCCCGGTGGGGTTTACAGACAGCCCGGCTCTCTGTTGAATCCGAGGGCCCTCTTTGTAAAGTGCTAGGAGGTTAATAAAACACAGACACGAGTTGCTGGAGGAAGGAAGCTTCCTTGTCTCGTTTCAGCCTCACAATCCTGGTATCTTTATTCCGGTCTCTTCCTTCCTGAATCTCTGTCCTTGCTCTATCCTCTTCCTCCTGGTCACCCTGGGAACCCCACATGTTATGGGTTGAACTGTTGCCCCCAGGAAGATATGTCGAGGTCCTAAGCACTGGTACCTGTGACTGTGACCTTATTTGGAAAATAGGGCCTTTGCAAATATAATCAAGTTAAGATGAGGTCACACTGGAGGAGAGTGAACCCTAACCCAATGACTGATGTCTTTAGGAGAAGAGGGAAATTCGGAAACAGACACACACAGGGGAAGAGAATGCCATGTGATGAGGGAGTCAGAGATTGGAGTGATGTGTCTATAATACAGGGAATTTCAAGGATTGCTGGTGACCTTCAGGAACTAGAGAGTGGCAAGGAAGGATCCTCCCCTGGAGCCTTCAGAAGGAGCATGGCATAGGAGTCTTGATTTCAGACGTCTGGTCCCCAGAATGATGGGAGAATGAATTTCTGTTATTTAAGCCACCCAACCTGTGGTGCTTTGTTATAGCAGCCTCAGGAAACTAACACACTGCACGTGCCCACTATTCCCTTTTCCAGTATCTTTCAGGACTTGCTGGCTTCCTTTGTTCTGGCGTACACCCATGCATGGCCCCATTCCCCACTTCCTAAAACAACAACCCTGACTTAGTCTGTTTGGGCTGCTAGAACAAAATACTATAGACTGGGTGACTTATAAACAACAGAAATTCATTTCTCACATTCTGGAGGCTGGGAAGTCCAATATCGAGGCACCATCACATTTGGTCTCTGCTGAGGCCCCCTTCCTAGCTCCTCACTGTGTCCTTACATGGCAGAAGGGGCAAGGCAGCTCTCTGGGGTCCCTTTTCAAGGCCACAAATCCCATTCATTAGGGCTGATGACTTCATGACTTAATCACCTCCTAATGGCCCCACCTCCTAATCGCATTGGGCGTTAGGATTCAACATAAATTTTGGGGGGACACACATATTCAGACCATAGCAAACCCCAACAATAAAAAACCTTCACTTTAAGGTTCCAAATGGACTGGCAGTTAAATCATGTTCATATTTACATAAAAGAAGGAGTAAGTCAACAAATTGATAAACGCGTGGAGATTTGTTCGGATGGATGTTCACCAAAATGCTGGCCTTAAAGAGTGAGATGGGAAATGGGAACTATTACATTCTTCTTCATACTTTTTGGTACTGCCTGCATTGTTAAAAAAAAAAAAAAAGAGCACAGAGCATTTTTACAATCAGGAAAAAAACAATGAGGTTATCTTCATTCTGGAAAAAAATGGAAAATGAAACAGTGGAGTCACATCATGGAAAATGCTTATGGTACAATTTCATGTGACATAAAACAATAGAATAGAGGACCTGTTTTATGACTAAAGCACTGTAAAAATGACAGGCCTGGAAGGAGAGATGAAAACCACTCATTTGTTAAGGTAGTCAGGTGGCAGGTGATTTCTCTTCTTTTGAAAATTTCCATTTTCATTATATCGCAGTTTGTGCATTTACTAAAACTTTCGGTTGGTACACATGCATAAATAGATAGATAAATAAGTAGATAGATGATAGATAAATAGACGGTAGGTAGATAGATAGATAGATATGAGAAATAAGTCCCCTGTACTTGGCCTTGCAGCCATAACTAGTCATTCCCCTTCCTCTGTCCATTGCTATGCCTGATGGACAAGGCAGTCTGTGCCCTCTGGCCCCAATTCCAATGTGCCCTCTGCTCCTGGCTGTTAGTCCCTTTCCACCCCAATACAATTGCTCCGAGGTCACTTCTAAGTGTGAAGCCCCCAGATCAGATGGCTTCTTCTGTGTCCTTACCTTACCCAATTTCTAATTATAACTAAAACACAATGAGGCTCTAGTAAAATACCATGAGACTTCAGGCCCTCTGTATAACTTCACTCATTTAAACCTAACAAGGAAAACCTACCATGAATCCGAGGCACAGAGCAGCTAAGGAACTCACCAAGGTCACGCAGCTATTGGTGATGGAACCATGAGTCAAGCTTCACAGCCTGTTGGCTCTAGAATAGGGTTTCCCAACCTCAGCACTGTGGACATTTTCAGGCTGGATAATTCTCTGTTGTGGGGGGCTGTTCTGTGCCTTGTAGGATATTAGGAGCATCTCTGGCCTCTACCCACTAGACGCAGCAGCACTCCCATGCCCAGTTGTGACAACAAGCAATGTCTCCCACCATTGCCAAGTGTCCCCTGGGTGGAAATGCACCCTGCTAGAGAAGCCCTGCTGCAGGGCTCCTCTTGTCCTCTGTGGCTTCTGTGGCATGATCACTGTCCCCCTTCTCCGCAAACCCTTTCCACCTTGCCTCGAAGACACCCTCCGCCCTTGCTTCCCAACTCCCAGCTCCTTCACTGTTTTCTCCCTAACTACAGCTCTTCTCCAAGAGAAGAGCTCCTCCAAGGCTCAATCTTTGGTTCTCTGCTTCATGGAATCATCTCCATTCAGGGACTTCCCTTACCTTGTCCTCATAGGCAATAATGAAAGTGATTCAGATTTATAGAGCACTTCCTTGGTGCCAGGAATAATTTTTAGGATTTTACTTATGTTATCTTTATCCTCATGATAACTCTACAAGGTAGATACGATAATAATAGCTTTATTTTTCAAGAAACAAAGGCATAGAGAGATGAAGCACAGCCAAGAAGGTGTCCACCTGGGACTGGAGTGCAGGTCTTTGGGCTTCGAAGTCCGTGTGCACAATCACCGTGCAACCAGAACCTTCCACCACCCTGAACCTCTCATCATCACCTCCAACTCAATGTGACTGGACCCCAAGTCATCAGCTTCCCCCAAAGTGGATCTGAGGACTTCTGTTAAAGGTCTGTCGTGCTCCCAGGAACTGGGCGTATGTCACCCTGAAGTCATGTGCAGTTCTTCTCCCTGACATTCCTTAAGTATGGAGCCACCAGAGCTGCTAAGTCTTCCCTCCAGAAGTGTCTAGGATTGGTCCCTACACTCTCCACTCCTCATTTCCACTCTGGTTTTCTCCTCCAATGCCTCATGCTTGAGACACCTTAACAGACCTTCAGCTTCTAAATCCTCAACACAAGTCCTTCATCTTATTCCTCTCTGTAGCCCCAGCCTAGTCCAGGGTCCATACTTCTGAGTGTTGAGTGTTATGTGATTTCCCTGCCACTACCCCAGGGGGCCAAGCAGGTACCACCATGGTTGAGTGAGGTGGGCCTCTTCGGTTTTCTCTTCTCACACACACTCTCTGTTTTCATATAAAGCACATAAGAATATCCTTCATTTCCACAATGCTCTCTTCAACCTTTTTTGGAAGCAGGCATGTCCTTTCACATATCTTTCATTTTGTCACTCAATAGTATGAAGTATATTTCACTTTTCTGTAGGAGGGCACAACCACTAAGACAAAGGGCAGCTAATGGAAGCCTCTGTGGAGGATGAGGAGGGAGAAACCAGGAGTGAGGAATAAGCAAATGGGGCCCAGTCTAAGGTCTAAGCCATTATGGCCATGTGGGAATGAGGGTCCTGCATGGCCCTTGTGACTTTTCAAAAGATACCTAAATCTGGGTATTTATGTGAAATTCTCAATTACTTAAATGTTGACAATGCACTTAAAAAATTTTTGAAAATCACTATACTGACTGGTTAAAAAAAATAAAGGTAACCAACACACACACAGACACACACATACACACACACACACACTTTGAAAACAGTCTTTGAAAACAGTAAAGTGTTCTGCAATCTCTAAGTGTCTAGAAACTCTGCAGCTGCAGTCTCTTTAAGATCTGCCTGAGCATCACATACCCTTAAACAGATTTTCTACCCAGGGAGGTAAAGTTTCATGGATCTGCCAAGACACGGACTGATTAATTAATTATTCCATTTATTTAACAAAAATGTATTGAGCACTAATATGTGCCAGGCACATTTATAGATCCTGGAGAGACAGACTTGGAGTTGCTACAGCAAAATGCCATAAACTGAGTGGCTTAAAAACAACAAAAATTTATTTCTCACATTTCTGGAGGCTAAGAAGTCCAGGACCAAGGCATCAGCTGATGTGATGCTGGGGAGGTGGGGGACCTGCTTTCTGGTTTGTAGATGGCACATTCTCATTGCGTCCTCACATAGTCGAAGGGGGAAGGGAGCTCTCTCGGGGCCTCTTACTTATAAGGGCATTAATCCCATCCATGAAAACTCTGCCCTCATGGCTAATCACTTCCCAAAGACTTCATCTCCTAATACCATCACATTGAAGGTTAGGATTTCAACATTTGAACTCTGAGGAACACAGGCATTCAGACCACAGCAGTAAGGATAGGAATATACTTTTGTGACCCCTTCCCTGAGTACCTAGCCGGTGTTAAGCACATAGTAGGTACTCAAGGGATCCACATGGAAATGGCTTCTCTTCTCAGAGTCCTGGTCCATATAAAGTCAACAACCCTTTTAAAAAAATAACTGAAAACAGAGGATCAGAAAGTGGTTAAAATAATGAGGAGTGGTGGGAAAAATCAAGACATCTTCTAGTCCCAGCTCTGCTCTTGTGTCTTTGAGATTGTTGCTTCTCCTCTCTCAGCTTCAGGTTCCCGATTGGTCAAAGGAGAGTTGGGCTATGTGACCCCTGGGGGACCTTCCTGGGATGATTGTCTCCCATGCCAGAACTTGAAGCCAAGGTTTTTGACTCCCACCTCCCACTGTAGCTGTGCATCTGAGCTCCCCTGTTACATTCTGTCAGGTGTTACTGGTTTGTAAGAATCACGATTACTCATTATTGGGTACTTGCTGAGTGCCAGATGCTTGCAAAAGGCATTTCAACATGATCTCATAGCATCCTCACCCCAAACCCCTGTAAAGTAGCTACTTCTCTTGGGCTGGGTTCCCTAGAAGTGGAGGCTAAAGTAGGGATTTGCAAGCCAGTGACTCATGGAGGGAGTCCTCTTCAGGAAAACTGTGAGGGGTGACGGTGGTAGCTCAAGGAAGGGGAAGAAGCCAAGGAGGGATATTGTCTTAGAGAAGCTCTGGCCTTGGCCTGGTCTACAGGGGGGCTCTGGGGCAAAAACAGTGCCATGGAGTTGTCCCACTTTGAGGAAAGAGCGCTGGGCTTCTGTATCCCCAAGAGCAATCAGTCACTGACCCCCTGGTGGGTGGTGGTGGAGAGGGTTTACCCTCTCAGCCGTCTCAGGGATGCAGTTACCATCAGCCCAAGAAATGGAGAAGGCCACGGGTACAGCATTACCATGACACCTGGAGCCGCTGGGGGCACTGGCTGGCAAAGAGGATGTGAGCAGAGAACTGACCAGCATTTACACTCCACTATTACTAGCCCATTTTGCAGATGAGGATAACTGAAACCTGGAGTAGTTAATATGTTCCTAAGAACTACTAAATACAGAGGTCTGAACTGTTAGGTACAAGTTGCGCGTCTCGTAAACAGCCCTCGCCACTGAAGGACAGGGCCCATGTCTGAAATGCCTGTTTCCCCAGCACCCAGCATGGCAATTGCACCCAGGGGCTGCTGAGATGTGCTTGGAAAGGCTGAGTTTGTGAGCTGCAGCTCGCCAGGGCAATGGGGCCTCAAGTGGCATGTCGCCGGGAGGCAGAGGGGTTAGCCCTCACCCACGTGGTGGCCTGGGGCAGCCCTGCTCTCCGACAGCTGCCTGAGCTCCAGCGCTGTCAGCAGCCTGCTCAGCGCTGGGGCGGGCCTCCTGCCAGGCTGCTGCTCGGGGAAGGGGAACATTATTCATCGGAGAGATAAGGCAGCTGATGAGAGATGGGCCTCAGAGCAGCTGTTCCTCGGCAGCGGCTGGAACGGATGCTGGGGCAGTGGAGTGGAGGAGAGAGGAGTGGGGGAAGGGGAAAGCCCATTTTGAGATGAAAAATGATGGTACTGCCGAGGGGTGATGGGAGAGCACATTTCAAACCCAGGCCAGGCGCTAATATGTACTTATACCCAAGGCCTTCCCCACACATATCTCTGTCTGACAGGCCACATCTGTGCTCTGTCGGGTTAACTATTGAACTAGTCAGAGGGCTCACTTATCAGCTCGCTCAGCAGGAAATATCTGCCTGGTAGGGCACCCCCTCCCAAGCTGCTTCCTCAGTGCAAGACTGAGAAGCTGGGCCCAAAAGATGCTAAACGCTCCTGCCTGGGCCACAGCCCTAAATCACCCATCTCCGCCCCCAGAGCACCCAGGTGGCGCTGATCTCAGGTGGCCCAGCCACTTCTCGCTGGTTCCCTAGGTTCTCCATCTTCCCTCAAAGCTAGCTGACACAGGATGGAATTTTCCAGGTTGAGGGGCAAGAGTGGGTGAGCTTTCTTTATTTTATCCATTGTTTGATAGTTGTTTTTTTTTAAAGGAAAGATGTGAAAAAGGAACCTTGAGGCCGGGCACAGTGGCTCACGCCTGTAATCCCAGCATTTTGGGAGGCCGAGTAGGGCAGATCACCTGAGGTCAGGAGTTCGAGACCAGCCTGGCCAATATGGTGAAACCCCGTCTCTACTAAAAATACAAAAATTAGCTGGGCATGGTGGCATGTGCCTGTAGTCCCAGCTATTCGGAGACTGAGGCAGGGGAATCACTTGAACCTAAGAGGCAGAGGCTGCAGTGAGCCGAGATCATGCCACTGCACTCCAGCCTGGCGACAGAGCGAGACTCTGTCTCAAAAAAAAAAAAAAAGGAACCTCGAGGGTTTCCTGGGAGACAGGGGAGGGCAGGATGTGACGTCTGTCTGTGACGGGACCTGGGCTGTCAGGTGAAACGCCTGATGGTCTTCCCTGACAAGCTGCGGCTGCCTCTCCAGCCTCCTCCCCTGCCCATCGGTCAGGTCATCTTCCTTTCTGACCACATCAGAGGGTTTCCTCAGAAGCCAGGGCCTTCCCTGTCCCTATGTTCTAACATGGACTTTCCCACTCTGACCGCCTGGCTAACATTTTGTCTGTCATCAGTGCAGGGAAGGGTGTAGACAGGAGTCCTTAAAAGTACCTATGGTATTATATTTCTTTTCATTAAAAAAAATCTAAAACAAATTCGGCTAAATGTTAAGATTTGACAAACTCAGTTGTGAACATAAGGGAAACAACAGTTAGCATTTAAGAGTGCTGGGAACTTGTATTTTTCAGAGTATTACCTTAATTGATCCTGACAGTTGCCCTTTGAAGTGTGTGTTTAAACGAGACAGAGGCACAGAGAGGACAAGCAGCCTCTCCAATGTCACACGGCAGATGCAAGTAGCCTGGCTCCAGAGCGGGTGTCTTAACCACCTTAGTTTATGAGTGTTTGCTAAATTATTCTCTGTACTTTTTCTAGCCTTAAAATAGTTCAGAATTTTTTTTTTTTTTAGGATCTGAAGCAAACATGGCAAAATGTTAATATTTGTCAAAGTAGTGTGTTCAACTATCTATGTGTAAGATTATTCCGAACTTTGCAATATGTATATGAATATTTAAAAAGAAAACAATAAAAAAGCCTCAGCGCTATTACCACTTCTCCTCAGAAGGCTTCTGAAGTCCCCCCGCCCCCCAACCAGCTCCTCTAAGCCCTTGCTTCTCTGAACTATTCTCCACCAGGCCCTGACTGTGTCACATCCTAGCAGTTGATTTACTTCCCATTTCCCCCTCCAGGCTGTGAACTCCACCAGCGAGTGGTGATGTTGAATTTATATCTGAATTTCCAGGGTCTGGCCAATTGCAAGGAATCTAGAAGCTCAATAAAATTATGAAACTAAAGGGAGCTATTTAGGGGGCCCCCATGGGTGAGTATTGAGCAGCTACATAAAGAGGCTGCAGAGGGTGCAGGGAACAAATGTGGACCCTGCCCTCCCTGCTGGAGACATATGGCAGTAATTTTTAGGACCATAACCCAGTAAGGGCTTCCAGCATAAATGCTTCCAGCTGCACCCTCCACTGTGGACAGGAAACTGGGAACCTCTTAAGACAGGATCTTGATGGCTTCCAGCTCAGTCGGATGCCCATCAAAAGAAGCAGAGGGTAGGAGCAGCTTTCTAGAAAGCCCTCTGGGTTTTACCCACTGTGTCTGGGGCTGTGTGTGTTTACTGGTTTGGCAGCTGTCAGATCAACCCTCCTCATTCTAGTTTAGTGGCTCGCCAATCTTGGCTGTACATTGGAATCACCCAAGGAGCTCTCAAAACTAGTTCTTCCTCCTCTTCTCTGCCCCTAGATATTCTGATAGAATTGACCTGAAGTGCCCACCTGGGTTTGGAGATTTTTAGAAGCTTTCTAAGTAATTGGAATGTGCAGCCAAGGCTGAGAACTCCTGTTAGGTTCTCTTTTTTAAAAAAAGATAGCTGCTACCAGGTGAACTGTGATGATATCTCCATTCAGTGCACATTTACTGAGCATCTATTATGTGAAATGCACCAAGGAAGGAAAGGGTTTGAGATTCCTGTCCTATGGCGTAGCTAAGTTTGATGAGGGGAATAAGTTGGCAAGTTTTGGTGTGTACAGATCCAACAGCCGGCCTCAGAGTGGTAGTAGAATCTTGGTATCTCCTAAGCCCACATCAGACATCACTGATTACAGTATAATTTCCTGCTGAGTCCATAGTGGTGGCCAATCAATGGCTGCTGGACAAGAAAGCAAGGTGGTAACAACACTTAGGTATGTTTCCTCAAGTTCTAGCTGGGACTTATTCTTTCCCCTGCTAGGTGGGACTTCATATACTCATACCAGCCAAGAAACACGTCAGCATGCAGCTACCATGTAAAACAAAGTCTGGCCGAACCTGGGAAACGTTTCTAAGCTAACACATTTCCCAACAAATACACACCTAACAAATTTCTAAAACTGCTGGAGCATGAACTACCCTTTGAGAACTACTGGTTAAGGCCAACACTGGCTAAGCACACAAGAGCTCATTTAATTCTTCCAATAGCCCCAGGGGTCAATTGATTGCATGTTTAGAGCACAGACTTTGGGTTCAAGCCCCAGTTCTACCACTAAACAACTGTGGGATCCCAGGAACACTAGTTAACAGTTCCATGCCTCAGTTTACCCATCTTTCAAAAAGAGAATGGTAACAATAACATGTACTTCAGAGTGTTGCTAAGAGGATCACATAAGCCAATCCACATAAAGAATTGAGGCAATAAACTTCAGATGTTTTTCTATGACCTTGGATTTCAAAGTCTCCTGTATACTGTTCTAACTTGTTTTTCTTCAAAGTAGCATATCTTCAAAATCATTTCGTGGCCGGGTGCGGTGGCTCACTCCTGTAACCCCCAGAACTTTGGTAGGCCAAGGCGGGCGGATCACGAGGTCAGGAGACAGACCATCCTGGCCAACATGGTGAAATCCTGTCTTTACTAAAAATACAAAAATTAGCTGGGTGTGGTGGCACGTGCCTGTAATTTCAGCTACTCAAGAGGCTGAGGCAGGAGAATAGCTTGAACCAGGGAGTCGGAAGTTGCAGTGAGCCAAGATCACGCCACTGCACTCCAGCCTGGCGACAGAGCGAGACTGTCTCAAAAAAAAGAAAAGAAAAGAAAATCATTTCATATCAGTACAAATGGAGATGCTTCTTTATTTATAATTGTATCTCATTATGTGGCTCGACCGTAATTTATTTAACCAGTTCCCTACAGATGGACAGTTAGGTTGTTTCTAAGCTTTAGCTATTAACAAACACTTCCGAGAATGAAACTAATCTTAACACTTACATAGTGTATAATTTCAATTGCCTGCCACTAATTTTGAATGGAATGTCATGTATAAAAGCATTCATAAGAATTTTATGCACCATGGAGTTGGGTGCAAAAAAAAAAAAGACTTTTGACAGTATCTGCTTATATCTTCTGAATATGAAGATGATTTTGGCTGCAAATAACAGTGATGACTAAATCAATAAAGAAAATGCATGAGCTCATATCACTGAGCTAGGGCAATCACAGGGCCGAGTAAATCAGAGGCTCAATGTCAGACTCAAGGATCTAAATGTTTTGTGTCCTTCTGACTCTTGTTCTCAAGGATGGACTTTTGTTCTCATACTGTTCCTTCACGTTATCAGTGAGCCACCCTGGTGCCCCGGGCCATACCCTCATGCCTATGAAAAAGAGTCTCTTTCTTGTGTCGCTTTTAAGAAGCATGGTGGATGTTCCAGAATCCTCCCGGCAGGTACATCTCAGGCCTCCCTGGTCAGAACTGCATCATCTTCCCTTTCCTTTTTTTTTTTGAGATAGAGTCTCG
Source organism: Homo sapiens (assembly GCF_000001405.40). NCBI lineage: Eukaryota > Metazoa > Chordata > Mammalia > Primates > Hominidae > Homo > Homo sapiens. The sequence continues at coordinate 32,885,593 of NC_000022.11, forward strand.
CTCTGTTGCCCAGGCTGGAATGCAGTGGCACGATCTCAGCTCACCACAATCTCCACCTCCTGGGTTCAATCGATTCTCCTGCCTCAGCCTCCCGAGTAGCTGGGACTACAGGCGCCCACCACCATGCCCAGCTAATTTTTGTATTCTTAGTAGAGATGGGGTTTCACCATGTTGGCTGGGCTGGTCTGGAACTCCTGACTTAAGGTGATCCGCCCACCTCTGCCTCCCAAAGTGCTGGGATTACAGGCATGAGCCACTGCACCAGGCCCATATTCCCTTTTCTAAACACCTTTCCCAGTGGGAACAGAATGACCACAGCTGGCTGAAACGAACCAGGATTCACCTCATGGCACCAGAAAGGGGCCTATGTTTCCTTGAAGCACATGGCCACCAAACAGCTGAATAAACTCAGGATTTGGCAAGCATGAAAGAAGGCGGGCAACCAACAGTAGACAGCACACCTTCCGAAACCTTTATTTTCATGGACAGCCATATGTTGTTCTTGTAAAGAACTGGCTCATAAGCTTGTGTGTTTTAAAGAACAATATTGCTAAGTGTGTTTACAATGACACACATGGGTAAATTTTAAAAATGCAATAGTAACTCTTAAAATCTGCTACAAGACTTTAATGAGGTCTGGCAACCCCTTGACCTGGAATCAGAACACATAAGCTTGAGAACTCAGTCACTTCTGCGAGGTCGTGAGAATGTTTCTCTAGCTCTCCAAGCCTTGCGTTTCTCCCTGTGAAAATGGCAGCTTCGAGGAGAATTAGGGGTCATGCATAAAGGAAAAGAGAAGGGGCTTTGCAGTTAGACCTGGCTTAGGATCCCGGCTCCCCCAGCTGTGCGACTCTGGACACGTTTTGAGCTTCAGTTTCCTCATCGGTAAAAAGGGGATAAAAATGTGCAATTCATAGAGCCATTTAAAAATATATACTTTATAAAGGCATGATTTGCATAAAATAAAATGCACCCATTTGAAACGTAGTTTGATTTGCTTCGACATATGTAACACTAATATAATCATCATGCCAAATAAAAGATATACTTTCATCACCTTCACAGGTGACTTGTGTCCCTCTACTGTCAATCCCCTGCCCCTTATTCCCTTGGCCCTGGGCAACCACTGATGTTTCAGTGACTATGGATTAGTTTTGCCTGTTCTAGAATTTCATGTCAGTGGAATCATGAAATGTGTACTCTTTTGTCTCTAGTCTTTTTTTCCTCAACATAATGGCTTTGAGATTTGTCTGCATAGTTACGTGCTGCCAAGTATGGACTGGAAGGCAGCCCGCAGGACCCTGCCTCTCATGTTCAAGCCCTTACATGCTTCTCCCCCGGAGGGGGTGGGATCTGTGACTGGTTTGCTGAATACGGCAAAGGAGATGGGTTGGCACCCCATGATAATGCTACGTCAGATAAGTCTCAGTCTTGCTCCCAGATGTATTCTTGTTCTCCCTTGCTTTGAAGTAACAAGCTGCCATGTTATAGAAAGACCCATGGAAAGGCCCACATGACTCATGCTTGTAATCCCAGTACTTTGGGAGGTCAAGGTGGGAGGATCGCTTGAGTTCAGGAGTTCAAGACCAGCCTGGGCAACATAGTGAGACCTCATCTCTACCAAAAATAAACAATATTATCCGGGCATGGTGATGCACATCTGTAGTCCCAGCTACTTGGGAGGCTGAGGTGGGAGGATCACTTGAGCCCAAGAGTTTGAGGCTGCTGCAAGCTATGATCACTCCACTGCACTTCAGCCTAGGCAACAGCGAGACCGTGTCTCAGAAAAGAAAAAAAAAAAAGAACTGTGTGCAACTTCCCGCTGATAACCAGCAAGAAGCCAAGGCCCTTAATCTCACAGTCACAAGAAAAATGACTTGTGCCAACAACCCAAGCGAGCTTGGAAGTGGTTCCATTGCCAGTTGAGCTTCCAGATAAGAACTGAGCCCCAGATGACAATCTTGATGTCAGTCTTACAGAAGACTCAGCTAAGCCATGCCCAGCCCCTGGCCCCCACAAACTGTGAGATAATAAATATGTGTTGTTTGAAGCTGATAAGTTTGTAGACAACTAATATACATCTCTTAGTAGTTTGTTCCCTTTTATCCCCAAGAAGCATTCCCTTATGTGCATGTACCACATTTTGTTTATTGTTCACGAGTTGACAGGCATTTGGGTTGTCTCCAGATTGGGGCTATGATGAATAAAGTTGCTATGAAGATTCTTATAAAAGTCATTTAGATAACATATTTCATTTTTCTTGGGGAAAGGTCTAGAGGAGAATGGTTGGCTCATACGGTGCCTATATATTTAACTTTATAAGGAACTGCCAAACTATTTTCCAAAGAGGCTGCACCACGTCACATCCCCACCAGCAATGTAGGAAAGTTAGTTATTCCACAGCCTCAACGACAGTTTGTACTGTCAGTCTTTTTAATTCAATACCTCATTATAGTTTTTATTTTTATTTCCCTGATGATTAATGATGTTTAATATCATTTCACATGCTTGTTGGCTATTTTTGGATATCTGCTTCTGTCGAGTGGCTATTTGAGTCTCAAGATATTACCATCCCTAGGGATGTTTTAGGAAAGCATATGTATGTAACATGACTGGCATTTAGTAGACACTAAATAAGATATAACTATTATTCTAGATGTTATTATTTTTAAGGTCACTTAGAGATAAAGTTATATGATTCCATAAAGGGCCCACACAGTATGCTTTAAGAATCTGTTCTAACTCATGTTCTCTTGGGGAAAAGTCTAGCAGGGGAATGATTGGATCATATAGTGCCTATATATGTAACTTTATAAGAAACTGCCAAACTATTTTCCAAAGGGGCTGTACCACGTTACATCCCCAACAGCAATGTAGGAGGGTTACAGTTACTCTACAGCCTCGCTGACAGATTCGACTGTCAGTCTTTTTAATTTGACATCTCATTATAATTTGTATTTTCATTTTCCTGATGATCAGTGATGTTTAACAGAGGAGAAGGAGAAGGAAGAAAAAGGTTAAATAACAGAGGAGGTGAAGCAGGAATGCAAGACGCCCCCAGGATTTGAGATGGAAGACTTCATGGGCAGGAGGTACAGGTCATGCATCTCAAATCTGAAAACCTGAAATCTGAAATGCTCCAAAATTCAAAACTTTTGGAGCACTGACATGACACTCAATGGAAATGGTCACTGGAGCATTCTGGATTTTTTTCATTAGGGTTGCTCAACTGCTAAGGATAATGCAAATATTCCAAAATCTGAAATCAAAAACCCTTCTGGTCTCAAGCATTTCAGATGAGGGATACTTGATCTCTATTGCCCAGTTTAAGGGATGATGAGTTCTGCCTTAGCCACATTGAGGTTGAAGGGAAAGCTGGCCCTCTAATCGGTCTCATCACTGGGCCTCAAAGTAGGGTGAGTGCTGAGGAGCCCAACTTTGCCAGACATGGCATCCCAAAGGGTGCCAAACACCTCTATTTAAAGCAGCAGAGATCTCAAGCATTTTGTTACAATCTGAAGTCTATTAGTGCCTGTGTCAGCCCTGCAGTCACTGGGGTGGAGGCCGCAGGACAGAGCTAAACATGTGCAAAAGGAGTGTAGGGATCTTGGAATAACTCTCTATCAGGAAGGCTAAAATTAGCTCATCTCCCTCCTCACCACTCCTCTTGCCCCAACTATAATTACTCACCTTTGCCCCCAGCTCCATTCCTGGGTTCTAAACACTCTTGCTTCAGGGGGGCTTTGGAAGGGTTTGCTTTCTAAAGCTTCCGGAATGGGGTAAGGGTAGAATGAGCTTCTCAGGGCCCAAGTTTTCCTCCACAAGGAAAAAAAAAAAACAAAAAACCTTTTATAGGAATTTTTCTGTTAATAAATGTGACATGTGCTTATTTAAAGAAAATAAAATCAAATAGCACAGCAAGGTATAAAGAAGAGGATAAACGCAGTAGTCCCAGGATGTAAAGATAATGTTTACACGTCAATGTGTTCCCTCTCATATTTTCAGTATGTAAACAAATCAACGCATATATTTGTAAATAAAATAGAATTATACATATATGCCATTCTGTAATCTTTTTAAAACTGACTGTATCCAGGGATCTTTGCATGCCAAAATATAAACTTTTAGATCTTTTTATTGAGTATCTAGTATTTCACAGTTGTTGGGCATTTAGATTTTAAAAAATATATTACAAAGACTTCTGGGGAAAATGCCTTTATATCTTTTTGGATTTTCCTAACTTTTTATCAAAAGTCATTAGTAGGGAATTTACTTACTGAATCAAAGGCTTTGAATGTATAAAGGTATGTTGTTCTCTCAGAATATTTGTATTAATTTCCATGTTTATCAATACTTTACTAGATGGCCAGTTTCACCTACTCTGAGCAACATTAAATTGATCTTTAATTTTTTTTTATCCTAAAAAAAAATTTCGTGGTTTCCTCCATTTGTTCTTGGGTAATTATTGAGATTTAGCTGCTTTTTTTTTTTTTTTTTTTTTTTGAGACAGGGTTATTACTCTGTTGCCAAAGCTGGAGTACAGTGGAAAAAATATAGCTCACTACAGACTCAACCTTCCAGGCTCAAGCAATCCTCTCACCTCGGCCTCCCAAGCAGCTGGGACTACAGGTGTGTGCTACCTTTCCTGGCTAATTTGTGTATCTTTTATAGAGCATTTTCCCATGCTGCCCAGGCTGGTCTCAAACTCCTGGGCTCAAGCAGTCCTCCCACCATAGCCTCCCCAAATGCTGGGGTTACAGGTTTGAGCCACTGTGCCTGGCCTGATTTAGCACCTTTTTTTTATTTGAGACAGAGTCTCGCTCTGTCACCAAGGCTGGAGTGCAGTGGCATGATCTTGGCTCATTGCAAGCTCCGCCTCCCGGGTTCACACCATTCTCCTGCCTCAGCCTCCCAAGTAGCTGGGACTACAGGCGCATGCCACCACGCCTGGCTAAGTTTTTGTATTTTTAGTAGAGACAGGGTTTCACCGTGTTAGCCAGGATGGTCTTGATCTCCTGACCTCGTGATCTGCCCGCCTCGGCCTCCCAAAGTGCTGGGATTACAGGTGTGAGCCACCGCGCCCGGCCGATTTAGCACATTTTTAACCTGTTTTTTCACACGCCACTTCTTCTTTTGGGCAAGTTGCCTGTTTATATCTACTGCTTATTTTTAGATTAGAATATCCATCTTCATTGATTTATAATAACTATATATATAGAGAGAGAGAGAGCTTCCCTTGTGTCTCCTGGGATGGATGCTCATTTGGCTGGCACTGCACCTCCCTACTAGCGTGTCCTCTTGGACTGCAAAGGATGCAATGGTAAAAACTTCATTTCCTAGACCCCCTTGCAGCTGGGAGCCTAACAATACCAGATTCAGCCAACTGGAAGCACTTGCTGGACTCTGGGAGGCAGAACTGAGACCACAATCACCTCCCACCTCTTTGGCTGTTCCCTGCATGCAGACAAGTTCCTGAAGACCTAACTGCATGGGATTGTGATTTCTGTCCAGGGCCCTGCTCCAGTTTCTTAGGTACCAACGAGGAGCTGAGGTGGCAGCAGCTTCCAGACTTTGCTTTCTGAATCCCAGCTATGGCAGAGGGCTCTTGAATTGACACGTTGGCCATCTGGGGGGGTCAATTTTGCAGGGCTCAGAAGCTTCCTGGAGGCCACTTCTCCAGTCCTTTTGATGACATTCTCGAAACCTAAAGCCACGTCTTAAGCACCTTTCTGCATAAAATCCCTACAACACTTTCTGTTGCTTGTGCTGAGCCCTGATGGATTTTTCTGATACTTCCCATGGCTTCTGAATCCTGTCACTTCTTTGTACTTTCCCAGGTCTTCCCACATCCCACTCCAGCCACTGAGTGATTCCCTCTTCTCTGTAAGGAGGTCTGAAGAGCGCTCAGCATTCTCTGAGGATTTATAGAATTCTTCACATCCAGATTTCTTTGCAAATGATAATAGTGGAAACCAATGAGCTTGCCATCCGACTTCGGTTCATATCCTGGACCAGCCATTCCTGCTTAAGCAAGGTGCTTAAACTGTGCCTCAGTTTGCTTATCTGTAAAAATTACACCATAGCGATGGCAATGCCTAATATACGGACCTGTTTTCAGGGCCACGCACACCAAGGCAGGCAGCAGGTGCTCAATACATACTTCCGTATAACTCATTCAGCCCCCTTTTCCTGTCTTAATGTGACTCTAAGAAAGCTACTAAGCCCTCTGAGCCTCAGCTTCCTTCCTTAATACTAGGAACCTTAATACCTTCCTCACAGAACTGCTGTGAGGACCAGAGGAAATCAGACAATTGGAAGTAAATTCCAGGTCTATATAAAAGGTATTATTTGGAGACCAGGTATTGTTTCAAGATTCCTTTTTAGCTAATAATAATAATAATAATAATAATAATAAAAAGCTGGCTGGGCGCATAGCTCATACCTGTAATCCTAGCACTTTGGGAGACCGAGGCGGGCGGATCATGAGGTCAGGAGTTCAAAACCAGCCTGGCCAGAATGGTGAAACCCCATCTCTAATAAAATAATACAAAAAATTAGCCAGGCATGGTGGCACACGCCTGTAATCCCAGCTACTCAGGTGGCTGAGGCAGGAGAAGTGCTTGAACCCGGGAGGCTGAGGTTGCAGTGAGCTGAGATCACGCCACTGCACTCCAGCCTGAGCAACAGAGTGAGACTCCATCTCAAAAAATAAAAATAAAAAATAAAAAAGCCACCCTGTGCACAGTCATTGTCTTATTCAACAAATACACGCTCTGCACCTATTCTAGGCAGTGTGCTGGGAGCTGAGGATACAGAGGTTAATGGGATAGACGTGATCCTTGGTTTTGTAGGATAGTGTGGGAACAGACAAAACCCAAAACCTATGTAAACACATACATGCTATTACAAATTGTGATGAGTGCTGTGAAGGAAACGAGACTCTAAGTAGTAAAAACCAGACACTGGTACCAGCATGGGAGAGAGAGATGTATTTCTGATCCTTGAAAGTATAGTATTGGAGAGATCTATTTTAAAGAGGTGATCTAGGAATTCAATTCTGCTAGGTGGACATATAAACTGGATACCACAGCCACCCACAGCCCCAGAATCACCTCCCACCCATCTCCCATCTCCAGTCTTCTGCTGTAGGTCTTAGCAAGGGAGAGGATGAAGAGTTCTTTGTCCCTGGGTTATCAGGGAGGCTGCATGAATGCCAGTTTGCTGAAGCCTGGAGATTATCTGGGGGAAGCTACCTATTTCTGGGGTAGGCTAGGTGAATGAGTGAATTGTAAAAACTTAGAGAAGTGAATTTAAGGGAAAAAGAGAGGAGAAGCTTAGAGAATATGAGAATCAGGACCATAAAGAGAAGCTTGGGAGAAGAAGAAACCAGGAAATGCCCAAGAATTCTGATAGTCTGGAATCTATTTCTGGACCCTATAAAATTAAAAAGATGGGCCCTGCTTCCTCTGGAGGCAACATGGTAGAATAGAAAGAATCTGAATCAGGGTCAGCTTGCCTGGGTTCTAGTCTCGCTCTCACTTTTATGACCAGGGGCCCAACACTCTGACCCTTCTTCATCTGCACTTCCTCCATTTGCGTATGAGAATAATCAATGTTTGCTCTGCCCCCCTCCCAGGACTTATCCATTCACTCCATTCCTCAACTATACATTGGGATTAATTGGATACCTGGCACTGCCGTAGGCACTGGGCTGTGGAGATGCATGAGACACATTCTTTGCTGTCACGGAGCTCATGGAGCCCTGGAAGAGACTCACATAGACAGAGACATTGCCAACATGGTAAGGAAAATGGTGAGGACACCACAGGAACAGAGAAAGGAGCCTTTGTCAGTTGACACAGTAACAGGGGCCCAGGATATTGTCTCCTGCAGGAGTCAACCCTTCAGTAGAGTCTTAAAAATCAGTAGAGTTTGGCAGTAAGTGGAGATTAGGAATTAAGGAACTCCAATAAGAGAACACTTGCATAAGCACTTTGTAGCTGAGTGACTGTCCACGTGTGGGGAAGGAGCATTTTCACTCCAGAGTCTGGTAAGACCTGAGCAAACCCAACTGGTCCACACCTCCACATGCTGTATATGCTATTCCTTTGGAATAGAATGCCCTCCTCTATTTTGTCTGCTTGGAAAATACCCACTCATCCTTCCAGTTGGCTTCAATATCCCCTTCTTCGCAAAGAAAGCCTTCTTTGAACATGGCAGTGAGCTGGCCTGTCCCTTGCTGGGCTTCACTGTATCACATACATTCCTCTCTCATGGCCCTCAGTCCTTCAACAGTGCACATTTGTTTCACAACTTGGTTTTCCACCAAGCTGTGAGCTCATCAAGAGCACAGATGATGGTACCTTCTTTCTTGCAATGTTATCACAGCCTATACTATGACAATCAGACAGTGGACACTCAATAAGCATTGGTCCAACTGGATCGAGTCTTGTTCTAGGGTAGACAAGATCCTGGGACCCTGTTACTGGCCTACTTGTGTGTCATTTATCCTCTGAAAGTCTTCACCTTGTAATACTTATGTCTTCTACGCAATAAACTGAGAGCAAGGGCCTGGTGAATCACTGCTAAGAAACAGAAATTGGAGAACTGTGGAGTAAAGGCTTCAGTCACCAAATTGTAGCCTAGAGAATAAAATGTCCTTCTCTTTTACATATTATAGAAGAAGAAAACAGTCAAGGGTCCTAATTCTGTTCCTACTACTGATTCTGTGACTTTGCACAGGCTGCTCTGATAAATGCTGTGGGTTGGCTAACCCAACAACTACAACCTTCCTCTCTTTTGTCTCTTTCTATTGCAGAGGGTGGAAATCCAGATATTCAATCTTGCCAGGCTCCCTTGTAGCTAGTGCTAGTGACACGTGACCCAATTCTGGTCAATGAGGCCAACACAGAAATCTGCTAAGGACTTCTGGCAAAGTGTCTTAAAGGAGGAGGCCTGAGAGGAGAAGAGCCACCAGGCACGACCCCGTCATCCTGACCTGACATTGACATGATGCCTCCACCTGTGGCAGTCAAGTTGGGACAGCAAGATGGTTCATCTTATGTGTCAACTTGACTGGGCTACAGGTGTTTAAACATCTGATTAAACGTTATTCTGGGTATGACTGTAAGGGTGTTTCTGGATGAGATTTGCATTTGGATCTATAGACTGAGTAACACAGGTTGCCTGAGCCATTGTGGGTGGGCTTCATCAGATCTGCTGGAGGCCTGCATAGAATAAAAAGCTGAGTAAGGGAGAATTCGCTCTCCCTGCCTGCCTGTTGAAGTAGGAGTTGTGAGTAGGAGGATAATGCCAATATTTCAGGTTTCTAGAAATGTAAATGATCCATAGTATAAACCTCCACCAACATGTAAGAAGAGGCAGATGAAAAATATTGAAGCATCGTTAGCATGAAAATAGCGGACCATTCAGCCGTAGTTTACATCTCAGCTGATATGAGTGACTGAAGAGAAGGCAGTTGAAGTGTCTGATGTGTAGTGCATGGCTAAGAATAATCCTGTAATGATCTGAAGGATTAGGCAGGCACCAAGGAGTGAGCCGAAGTTTCATCATATGGAAATGTTAGATAGTGTGGGAAATCAGTGAATGAGTAATTAATAATTTTTATTAGCAGGTGTGTTGAAAACTAGGACATCAGTCTCCTCCTGACTCTGGACTTAGACTGGGACTCACACCATTGGCTCTCCTGGGTCACCAGCTTGCCAACAGCAGATCCTGGAATTCTCAGATTCCATAATCCAGTGAGCCAATTCCTTATAGTAAATCTGTAGCTATACTTGCATGTACATCTATCTATCTATTTATCTATCATCTACTATTGGTTCTGTTTCTCTGAAGAACTCAGACTAATACAGACAGTATAGTATTGAGCATGATAACAAAATGCCAATAATCTAAGAATGACAGGAAAGAATGGCAAAGAGTGACCTGATCCTTGACAGCAAACCTCTCATTGCACCAAATCTGGAAACACCTAGACTCTTGCTATGTGAGAAAAAGAAATGTCTTTATTGCCTATGCCTCTACATGTCAGGTTTTCTGTTACTTGCAGCTAAAAGCATTCCTGACGCATGCAATTATCTCCCATCTCTAAGCCTTATTTCTCGGGTTACACAATGGCCTTAAATGAAACCGACAAACATTTCCAAGTGTCTCTTAGATGCACGGCTCTGAGTGAGGGGTTCAAAGGGAGCCAGCAGAGTAGAGCTTAAGAGTAGGAACTCTGGGGCTAGGCTGCTCGGCTTAGAAGCCCAGGTTCACCAACCCAGCCTGTTATTTAACCTCTCTGTGTATAAGAAGGGTCATACTAGTACTATTAATATTAATAGGGTTGTTGGGAAGATTGAATTAGTTAATCCACGTAAGGCCCTTAGAATAGTGCTCAGCACATAGAAAAATGCTCAATAAATGCTAATTATAGCTAAGAACTAGACATAGGTCAAGCCTTCTGGGAGTTTAGAGTCTAGCTTTCAAGTCAAGAAATATACACACACATATAAATATGATATTGAAACTATAAAGATATACATGTATAATTGAAAACAGAATCATTTAACTTCTTAAATTCTAAAGTAAACTTAGCCTGTAATCCCAGCACTTTGGGATGCTGGGTGGGAGGATCACATGAGGTCAGCAGTTCGAGAGCAGCCTGGCCAACATGGTGAAACCCCGACTCTACTGAAAAAATACAAAAATTAGCTGGGCATGGTGGCATGCGCTGTAGTCCCAGCTACTCGGGAGGCTGAGGCAGGAGAATCACTTGAACCCAGGTGGCAGAGGCTGCAGTGAGTTGAGGTTGCGCCACTGCACTCCAGCCTGGGCAACAGAGTAAGACTCTGTCTCAAAATATAAAAATAAATAAGGTAAACTTAGCAGCTCATTATCATAAGACATAAAGGCTAAAAACTTAACTGCCTCCAGAGAAGACTTAGATAAATAGGCAGATGATAAAACTATAATAATATGTTAGTCAAAGAAAGTAGGCATTTTGAGGCTAGCCTCAGAATTTGAAATTAATTAGAACCAAATAAAATAGGAAAAGATAACATTTCATAGTGTTTTATAGCTTTTAAAGCATTTTCATGAAATCTAACAACTTTGTGAAGAAAGGGTAAACGTGAAATTTTTTCCATATGTGATCTCATTTTGGCTGTCACCTTGTTCGAAGATGTGTGTAATTCTCCTTTTACAGTTGAAAGGCCATGGGCTTATGGTGAGGCTTACCTGAGATGATACAAGTGAACACAGTCTCTAACTTTTCTTAAACAACTCCAAAAAATGCAAGACATTCACCAAGTGGTGGCTTAGAAGTCACGTATTCCCCAGTGATGTTTGGTAACCTATGCCCCTGTCCCCACCCTGGTCTCCAGAAAAGGACTTTAACCTACGTCTCTCTCTCTGAGGCCTTGAGCTGCAGGAACTCTTACATAGAGGACTCTTTCTGGCTCCCTTTGAGTCTCTAAAGTTACCGTCCCCTGGGGCCAAGTAGGTTGTGAAGGACCTGCTCCTGACTCCACCCCAGCCACCTGCCCTACCGCTGAGCACCTGAGGCCTCTCTAGAATGTGAGTACCTGGACCCGGCGCCCATGGGTGTAAGATAAGAGTGCCGGCAGACCTGTTGTTTTCTTCTAGGAAGTCTCAGATTCTGGAAGCATGACTCTCTCTCTAATCTCCTGAGAGCTAAGGCCCACACTTAGGGAGCCCCACACATCCAAGGAGGTGCTTTAAGAGCTGGGCTGCTCTCTTGGATGCTGCGTGCAGCTCATCCCTGCCTGGGAACTGGGTCCTTGCCTTCCTGAAGCAGATTCTCAGTCATGACAATCACTGTTACACACAGAGGGGGTTCCCAGGATGCCCAATGGGCAGGCACTGTAAATCTGCTTCCCCGCCGGCCTCCCATCCTGCAGAGAAGGCAGCCGTGGAGTCAGACCTGGATTCAGAGGGTTAAGAACACAGGGTCTATAGCTAGATGATCTAGGTTCAGATCCTGACTCAGCCACTTCTTAGCTTTATCACCTCAGGCAAGTTACTTTCATGGTCTGTGACTCAGATTCCTTGTGGAAAATGAAGATCATAATAGCGCTTACCTCACAGAGTTGTTAAGAGGATTTAAGTGAGTTAAAGAAAAAAATGCCTGGCATGTAGTGAGCGCATGATGAATTTTAGCTATTTTATTTGTTTTGTGATTTTTGAGCAAGTCTTTTTATATATATTTTTTTATTTTAGGGACAGGGTCTTGCTGTGTTACCCAGGCTGGAGTGCAGTGGTGCGATCACAGCTTGCTGCAGCCTTGAACTCCTGGGCTCAAGTGATCCTCCCACCTCAGCCTCCCAAGTAGCTAGGACTACAGGCATGGGCCACCACACTCAGCTATTGTTTTTTGTTTGTTTGTTTGTTTTTGAGACAGAGTTTCGCTCTTGTTGCCCAGGCTGGAGTGCAATGGTGCAATCTTGGCTCACTGCAACCTCCACCTCCCGGCTTCAAGCGATTCTCCTGCCTCAGCTTCCAGAGTAGCTGAGATTACAGGTGTGCGTCACCACATCCGGCTAATTTTTGTATTTTTAGTAGAGACGGAGTTTCACCATGTTGGTCAGGCGGGTCTCGAACTCCTGACCTCATGATCTGCCAGCCTTGGCCTCCCAAAGTGCTGGGATTACAGGCTGAGCCACTGCGCCCGGCCCCAGCTATTGTTTTTATTTTTTGTAGAGACGGGGTTTCACTATGTTGCCCAGGCTTAAGCAAGTCTTTAACGTATCTGAACCCCAGTTTCCTTGTCTATGTAAGGGGGATGATTACATGTGCCCAGAGTTCACTCTCCTTTCTCCCGTTGGTAATCACATCACACTTGTAGCTACTCATCTGTTGTCCACCTATCTGCATACATCTGCAGCAAGGCACTGTGCCCATTTACTTCCAGCTCCCAAGGCTTAGTAGAGGGCTTGACACATAGGTGCTCCTAAATATTCATCAAATGAAGAAATGGCACTGTTGTCAGGATTGAATGAAACAAAGATAGCCAGTCTGATAGAAAAAACAGTGGAATCCCTATATACATATATGCATGTGTGTGCATGTCTTGGGGAGGGAGGAATTTGGACCATTGAGAAATGGGCTGGTGTCCTAACTTAGTCCTTATGACCTGTGTGACTGTAGGCAAGTAGCTGACCTCTCTGAGTTTCCATGTCCTCAGCTATAAAATGAGATGGTGGGCTGGGCGCGGTGGCTCACGCCTGTAATCCCAACACTTTGGGAGGCCGAGGCGGGTGGATCACGAGGTCAGGAGACCGAGACCATCCTAGCCAACATGGTGAAACCCCATCTCTACTAAAAATACAAAAAATTAGCTGGATGTGGTGGCGTGTGCCTGTAATCCCAGCTACTCAGGAGGCTGAGGCAGGAGAATCGCTTGAACCAGGAAGTCGGAGGTTGCTGTGAGCTGAGATTGTGCCACTGCACTCCAGCTTGGCGACAGAGTGAGACTCTGTCTCAAAAACAAAACAAAACAAAACAACGAAAAAAATGAGATGGTAGATTGACCTGATTAGGAAGATTAACCAAGGTAAGTTATGGTCGGCATCAAGTACTGTGCCTGAATCCTAGCGGGTGGTTCACAAACGGCAGCTCCCTTCCCCACTTTTCTGATGCCTATGGACTGAGCCAGTGCACAATGAAAATGGCAATAATGAACACATATTGAGCACTTACTATACACAGGGCACTGTGCTAAGAACTTAGCTTATATTATCTACAGTGCAGTGGTTTTGAAATGGGGTTTAGGAGAAGAAATCCTTTTGTAAGCAGGAGTGGGACTGGGGAACGGAGGCGTTAATCAAGTGAGACTTTCATACAACTGAGAAAAGGTTAACTTCCCCCTAAAGAAGGAGCGTGTGTGCAGGGAATGAGGGGTTGGTCCATGATGGAGGTTATGGGCCCACCAGTGGCCTCTATATGGCTTTATCTAGAGCATTTCTGAATTCATCCACTTAAAATTTAATTAGGAAAAAGGGTTATTCTGCTTAAAATTAAATTAGCTTGGAAACACCACATATAATAAGGCCTGGAGTTAAAATGCTGGGTTCTTGTCCTGGCCCTGAAACTCACTAGCCAGAAACCCTGAACAAGTCAATTTCCCTCTTTTGAGCCTTCGTTCTTTTACAGTTAAAACAAGGAAGTCGGCCGGGCGCGGTGGCTCACGCCTGTAATCCCAGCACTTTGGGAGGCCGAGGCGGGTGGATCATGAGGTCAGGAGATCGAGACCATCCTGGCTAACAAGGTGAAACCCCGTCTCTACTAAAAATATAAAAAATTAGCCGGGCGCGGTGGCGGGCGCCTGTAGTCCCAGCTACTCGGGAGGCTGAGGCAGGAGAATGGCGTGAACCCGGGAGGCGGAGCTTGCGGTGAGCCGAGATTGCGCCACTGCAGTCCGCAGTCCGGCCTGGGCGACAGAGCGAGACTCCGTCTCAAAAAAAAAAAAAAAAAAAACAAGGAAGTCAGATGGTATACTTCTGGGGCCTTTATTAGCTAAAATATTCTGAGAGAGCGTGACCTTCTAGTACTGTCTCCCATGGAACTGTCCTGGTGAAACCCAGAGATCAGCTCATGAAGATGGACTTGAGGCAAGAGAGAGCTGAAATGAAATTGGGCTTGAGTTGCCACTCAGCCCAGCACCATCTTTTCAGATCCTTGTTCTGAAGCAGCAGATCCTCTTCATCTTTTCAGCCCTGAAGGAATCCCTTACATCCGGGTCACTGCAAAGTTCCGGGCAAATTTCCTGACAAACTTCTGTTCATTTTTTAAAACCCATTGTAAATGTTATGGTCATTTGTTCATTCAATAAACATTTATTGAATAAATACTCTGTGCCAGGTGTTCTTCTAAGGGATTTGGCAGTGAACAACAAAAACAACAAAAATCCATGCCTTCTATATTTTAAGAGACATCCTTTTTTGACCAACTAGCCTTTTGCATAGACTTTGATAGTTTTACTGTTCTAAGTGACATGTCGGCTTCCCTATTAGACTGTAAGCTCTATGAGGCCAAGAACTGTATATACTCCTCACTTCATCCCCAGTTTCCCAATGGAATACCTGGCAGACTGCCTGTATTTTTCTCTTCCTGAGGATTTAAAGACCTGGACATGTATACTATGGTCATTATCTCACCATCCTAGCCAGGAAATTGACATTTATTTAGCATTTTTTTCTGGGAAGACTTACTGCCTAGTACTTTCCTACTTATATTCTAAGATGGCACATTTAATTATTTGATCAATATCTGCCCCTTGTCCATTAGACTATCAGCTACATGACGGCAGCGGAAATATTTGGTTTACTGATGCAGCAACAGCATCCAATAGATGTATCTAGCATACAGGTAGCACTCATAAATGTTTGCTGAATGAGTGTTAGGATATGGAGAGGAAAATGTGGTGATGCAAAATTATGCAATTTGCAGTCTTTAATGCTGATCAGTCTAGCTGGGTACTGGGAGCACACAGATGGTGTATGCTTAAAAGCTTATGAATAGGAGTTGGCATTTTAATACAGTAACAAGTACTTGAACATTGACTAATACACAGTTGCGTGTGACAAAGTGCCACATTTCTGGTATAGATAAGTGCTGGAAAACAGGCTTTGGAGCCAGTGAGATCTGAGTTCAAATCTTAATTGTGCTTCTTAGAGGCTGGGTTGTTGGGTGATACTTAATCCACCTGAACATCAGTTTCCTCACTGGGACATGAGCACTGAATTAGCAAGTATATAGTACAGTGTCTGGCTTTTAGTTGATGCTACATAAATGTTAGTGCTTCTTACTTCTTGCCACTAAAGAGAATCTTGTCCCTCCTTTCAGGCCCAAGTCCAATTCCTTATCTTGGTGAACCCTTCCCTCACTGCACAGCTCACAGTCATCCTGCTTGTCTTGGAGCTCCTCTCATAATGATCAGCCAAGCATCCTGCTTCACATATTTAGCTTTCTATTTATCAAATACTTTCAATGTGCCTAATATGCACCATAGCCTCGTGTAGATGTTTTACAGGTTTTAGTTTCTTAATCCCCAGGACAACCCTCCGAAGTCGGTTCCCATTTTACAGATGAGGAAAATGGCACCAGTGAGATGTCACTAACTTGCCCGAGGGCACACAACTGGGAAGCAGTCCTGCCAGTATTTAAATCCAGGCAGTCTAGCTGCAGATGCTGCATTTGGAAACCCAAGGGCCACATGGCCTTTCTGCCTTACGATGTCAACCAATCATGGTTTGAGCTGGGCCAGCCTTGCTGGCTGGAGCTGAAGCTACTGAAGGGGAGGACAGCCCAGCTCCTGCCTCCCAGCATCTCTGTTCTTCTGAGGAGAGCAGAGCCCCTCTTGGAAAGGGCCCATTCCAAGGTCTCAAAGATTTCTCTATGAGATCTGGGAGGCTGCACAGCTTTGTTGGGCACATGAGAATGGAACCAGAAGACCCCCAACTCTACACCCAATTCCTCACCATGGAAAGGAAGTGGAGGCACCTTCCAGGCAGCCCCCTAGGTGGCGGCTGTTCCCAACACACATTTATTTAGCATGAGCCTAGGGCTTGGTTCTGGGGATAAATTCTTAAGCAAGACAATATGAAACAACTGAAATAATTTGAAACAATATGATGAGCTTAAAATCCATGCAGTCCCCAAATTCCAGGCTGGTCTGGGTCAAGGGAGAATGTAGTCAGTGAGGGTTTCTAAGCACAAGTGAGCAGTAACAAGGAATCAGGAAGATGGGTGTGAGTTGGCCATGCCAAAGATATTTTCTGGAGCTGGGATGGCAACATGGGTATTCCAGGCAAGACTGGCCAATACCTCCAAGGTCTGAAGATAGAGGAAGCCATTTGAAATACCTTCTCCATTCAATCTCTGCAATCTTGTGAAAAATTCATTGGTTTTTTATTAGCCTATTTTTCAGATGGGAAAATTGAGGCCCAGGTTGTACCTTGCTTATGATCACCTTGCTAATAAATGGTAGAGCTGTTCACTCCAAAGCATTCACACCAGCTTCTGAGAATAGAGGCTTTTATAAAACAAGCAAATGCAAGGAGGATGGGACTCGTGGGCAGGTTCATGGGACTAGGTTCTAACTGAAGATGTGGTACCGTCACTGACCATGGGAAAATTACTGGAACTTTCTGAGCTCCTTTTTCCACATCTGTTGGCAAATAGAGAAGATCTGAATATGTCTCAAGTCAGAGTTTGCAAAACAGTATGCTGCATTAAGCATAACCCCTGGAGACAAAAAAAAAAAAAAAAGTTGGTGGTCCTGGATGTATTTTACTGAGGAGGACACTGAGGTTTAGAGCAGTTAATAACTTTCCCAGTTTACATGGCTAAAATGTGACAGTGCCAGAATTTAAACTACGGTGGTTTGGATTCAGAATCACAGTCTTAAAAAACACGCTCTCTACTGTTTTTCGAGTACAGAGAAATGATAATTGATGCTCAGCCCCTATGTCTGGGATACATTAGGGAGTGGTGGGGACTCTGGTGAGCTATAGAGTCCATGCTCTGACTAAAGGTACACTCCTGTGACTGACCTTGAGTAAGACCAGTGAATGTTTGGTGCCCCAATTTTCTCTACCCTAAAATTGCTATAATTATCTCTTCATCTCATAGGGTTGTTTTGAAGACTAAATTAATTAACATGCCTGGCACATAGTAAACATTATGTAAGTGCAAGCTGTTATGACCTGTGAGGTGATCTTTGTTTTACACATTCGTTTTTTTAAAAAATACCCATCTAACAAGTTCTATGTCTTAAACATTCAAAACACCTACTTATATATAGTACAGGGAACTGCGCACACCACTGACGATCAAGTTTTGACAACTGTTCTGGGGCCTTTTCCTCCTCCTTCTGAGCAACACTAGAGCTTGTGGGTAGGGGGAGGGGGCTTGGGAAAAGAATTGAGCTCTCCAGGCCACAAGCCATGCGCTTCGCACATCAGCAGCAGCCTCCATAGCTGGCTGCTGTAGCCCCTCACAGAGCTCATGGTTACCATCGGCCTCCAGGCTGTAAAGAATGTGAGGTGCAATGGGCAGCCTTCCAGGTACCCAAGAAGGGAGGCTTCATCCTTTCAGGATGTCTCAGGCTTCAGATAAAACCCTTCCTGTGTTCCAGCTCATAGCTGGCAGGGGCAATCGGCAATGACTGACGACAATGGGTGACTTGTCAAAAAGATGTGTGTGTGAACCAAATGCCAGCTAGCTGGAGCAAAGCATGCATTCAGGAGGCTGGTGGGAAGACCATCAACTGCACAATGGTTTGTTTTGCACCTACTATGTATTGGGCCCCGGGCCAGGCCCAGTACATAGTAGTACATACATTTCAGGAGGTGGTGAAATTAATAATAATAGTAGTTCACCTGTATTTACTGCCTCAGAGCACCACAACAGACATTATTTCTCTTAATCCTTGGCACAAGTCTATGATGTAAGCAGGCCTCATTTCCTTGCTTTAAAGGTGGGTAATAAATGAGACTTGTTTAAAGTTATAAATTATGGCAGAGATATTTGGCCAAGCTTGTTTCCTTTTCCACCTGGGTATCCCCATCTGGACTACATTTCCCAGCAGGCCTTGTGGTTGAGTGTGGGCATGTGACAGAGTTCTGGCCAATGGGATGAATGGAATGCTAGTGATACTGCAATATGGCTCTGCGAGGCCTGGCCCATAAAAATCTTTCCAAGCAGTCTATCCTCTCCTCCTCCCTTGGCTAGCAGATGCAGAGAGTCTGCAGAGGGCTCTGAGTACCTAGCGATGGTGGAGTCACAAGATGGAAGGCGCCTGGTTGGATTCCTGAGGAACTCTGAAGAAGGTCGTCTGCTGAATGCCACACTCTACTCTTGATTGAGTGAGACCTAGGCTTCTTTTGTGTTAGACCACCAAGTTTTTTGTTTTTTTTTTTCATAACAGATAGCCTGCCCTAATATACACAGTAAAAGCAGAATTGGGGTTTTAGAGGCATTTTGCTTGTACATGTGACAGTTTTTTCGACCATCTTCCAAACAGGCAGAAAAATCTCCTTATGCATATAGAGTCTTGGGATTTTATAAAGCATTTGAACAAGTAATGGGACAGTTTCTTCCTTCCACTCCACGCAACACTTGGACTGTGGACTCTTGTCCACTGTGGGAAGCTTTCAGGTGGGGTAAGATGTCTGGGCTAGCCACAGCTCTGGTATCATTTGCTCAGCCCTTCGCAATTGTCCTGGTAGACAATAAAGTGTCAGTGTTGTAAGGCATTCTTTGCATGCAATGAATTAACTTCCCTCCTGTCCATGGATAATGGTACAAATTATATACCGTCCCTCAGAGAACTGTGAAAATAGTCATCATTATGTGCTTTTGTGTTCTGTGGTTCAGATGAGAACCCCCAATTGCAAGCCCCTTCCCCTCTCTGAGCTTCAGTTTTCTCATCTATAAAACCACAGGGTGGAATTAAGTGAACTAAAGAGTCTCTTGCGAGCTCGAATTTGCTATACTCTCACAAAAAAGCAATATTTTGTATGAGTCAGACACTGTCCCACATTATTTCACTTAGTCATTGAAATGAAGGAGGATACAAATAAGGTATTTTGGGGAAAATAATAGAGAAACTGGAATTGCCCACCTTCAGTTGTTTCCTCCAAAGTTTCTATTCAATAAACTTTAGGGGAGTGGCAAAGTGGTACACAGTATTACTCTAACTTGCAACTTCACTGAGCCTGCAATCTAGGTGGGAGGACAAAAACCACACTTAGGGAACCAATAAATGTCCCAGAGCATAAGGCAAAGAGTCTGCATGGTCAGGAAGACAAAGGGGGACAGAGGGAAAGAGACCTACCTTGGTTGCCACCCTCCACCCTGCCTCAAATTCCTGACTGCAGACACAGTTACGCTCTGAGCACTTGCTGTGCGCCAGACACTGGCTGGGTGTTTTGCTTTCACACTGCATTTGATTCTCACAGGCGCATTGCCAGGAGGGCATGATTCTATCTGGTTAAAGAAGTGGAGCTTAGGAGGCACATGGTCAGTAAGTCACTTATCCAAGGCTCCCACATAGCTGATAAGTACCAGAGCCACAGGGTTTGAAGCAGGTCTGTGTGGCTGCAAGAGCCTGTATTCCCTGCACTCTGCCTCTGCCCTCCTATATGGGCAGCTCTGGCCTGAGATTCAAGCTGCACTAACTTCCCCGGGTCTTGAAGAAGAGATACTGGCACCCCCTCTAAGGGTTCGTGCCCTTTCATTCATGAATCACAGTCAGGTATCCTGAGGAAACCTCAGCTTGCAGGGCATCCCATGGCAGAGAGGTCGGACATTCACAGAGAGGTGCAGCAGGTTTGGTATCATTGGCAGAGCCCTGGATATTCTAACTGGGAAACTCTGGTACAAAAATTCCAAGGTTTGCACAGCTAGAGGCCCATGGGAAAGACCTAGGAGCAGCTGAAACTAACTGACCCCACCTGGAAGCAGATCCCCTCCAAGGACACAGAGGGAAGAAAAGCGGCAGGAAGTAGCTGGTCTGGTTGTTCTCAGGAAGGCGCACGACCTGGAAGAGAGAAACGTCTTTCCCTGCAAACAACGATCTGGCATTTCTCAGTGTGTGCTCCTGGGACCCTCTGCAACACAGCTCACTTAGCATGTTGAAAAAGGGGATTCTTGGGCCTCAAACACAATGAATCAAGATCCCCTGGAGTGGGGAACAGGAACCTGCATTTAGCCAAGCTCATCAGATAGTTCTAATGCTCACCAGGATTTAAAAATGGAAAATTCCACTTATTTGAAATGATTCTACTTAGTTCTTCCTTAGATGCCCTATTCATTCCTGCCATTTTGCCCATCAGTGATGCTTAACCCCAGGGGAAAAATAGTAAATATATTAATATCTTTTTTTAACTTTAAGTTCTGGGATACATGTGCAGAATGTGCAGGTTTGTTACATAGGTACACATGTGCCATAGTGGTTTGCTGCACCTATCAACCCATCACCTAGGTTTTAAGTCCTGCATGCATTAGGCATTTGTCCTAATGCTCACCCTCCCCTTGCCCCCCACCCCCCGACAGGCCCGGGTGTGTGATGTTCCCCTCCCTGTGTCCATGTGTTCCCATTGTTCAACTCCCACTAATGAATGAGAACATGAGGTGTTTGGTTTTCTCTTCCTGTGTTAGTTTGCTGAGAATGATGGCTTCCAGCTTCATCCATGTCCCTACAAAGGACATGAACTCATCCTCTTTTATGGCTGCATAGTATTCCATGGTGTATATGTGCCACATTTTCTTTATCCAGTCTATCATTGATGGGCATGTGGGTTGGTTCAAAGTCTTTGCTATTATGAATAGTGCTGCAATAAACATACATGTGCATGTGTCTTTATAATAGAATGATTTATAATCCTTTGGGTGTATACTCAATAGTGGGATTGCTGGGTCAAATGGTATTTCTGGTTCTAGATCATTGAGGAATCACCACACTGTCTTCCACAATGGTTGAACTAATTTACATTCCCACCATTAATTAATAGATATATTTATATCTATTGTGTGCTCATCATGTGTCCCAGATTCCTGTAAGCATTTTAAGTGAATTAAGTCATTTAATATCCTCACAACATCCTTCTAAGGAAGGTACTTTCACTAGCCTAGGATTACATATAAGGGAACTGAGGCACAGAGAAGCTAAGAAGCTGTGAAAAGCCACACAGTAAGTGGCTGGGCCAGAACATGGACCCAGGCAGTCTGATTCCCAAGCTTGACCTCTAAACCCCTACAGCATGCAAACACTGTGGGAAGATCCATTTATTGAAGACTCACTCTGTGCTAGGCCCCATTTCCAGGTACTTTCATGCATTCAACAGACATTCAGCAAATGCCTACTATGTGCCAGGAACTGCTCTAAGCTCTGGCCAGGCTGGGAGGTGAGTGAAGCACTCACCTTGGGAACTGAATCTAAGGTGGGAGTAGGGAGCCAAAAAATTCACTAATCAAGGGAAACAATATTTTAGTGTAATATTTTTTAAAAAATATCAAATTAACAAGCTATGGCCCATGGGCTGGCTCACCTGTTTCTGTAAATAGTTTTATTAGAGGGAAATAAAAAACAATAAAGAAGAAAATACTAAAAACCTTGCTCTAATGGAGCTTACGTAAATGACCTCATCCAATTCTTACCATACATGGCCCCAAAAGGCTGCTATTGATATCATTACAGGGTAACATACACCACTCTGTCTATGGGTAACTAACGATTATAGAGGCTGACAATTATGGAGTGCCAGACACTATTTTTAAGTGCCTTATAGTATTATTTTATTCCTTGCAACCTCCCTATAAGGGAAGATCATTATCATCCACATTTTACAAATGGTGAAACTAATGCACACAGAAGTTTTATAATTTGTCCAATGTCAATGCAGCCAGTAAGGGCTGGAGCTGGGATTTTAACCCAGACAGGCACACTCCAAGAGGCCATACCTTTTTTCTTTTTTTTTTTTGAGACAGAGTCGCACTCTGTCCTCCAGGCTGGAGTGCAGTGGCATGATCCTGGCTCACTGCAACCTCCGCCTCCCAGGTTCAAGTGATTGTCCTGACTCAGCCTCCTGAGTAGCTGGGATTATAAGTGCCCACTACCACGCCTGGCTAATTTTTGTATTTTTAGTAGAGATGGGGTTTTGCCATGTTGGCCAAGCTGGTCTCGAATTCCTGACCTCAAGTGATCCGCCCACCTTGGCCTCCCAAAGTGCTGAGATTACAGGGGTGAGCCACCACGCCTAGCCTTTTTTTTTTTTTTTTTTTTTAAGAGATGAGGTCTCTCTGTATCACCCAGGCTGGGGTTCGGTGGTATGGTCATAGCTCACTGCAACCTTTTAACTCCTGGGCTCAAGTGATCCTCCCACCTCAGCCTCCCAAGTAGCTGGAACTACAGATACACTCCACATCTGACCCAAGGCCATACCTTTAACCACAGATTGGCAAATTATAGCCCAGAGGTCCTATCTGGCTTATCACCTGTTTTTGTAAATAAAGTTTTATTAGGACACAGCTATACTTAATCATATGTGTACTGTGTGTGTCATGCCATAATGATAGAGTTAAGTAGCGGTGACAGGCCACGTGGGCTGCAAAGCTGAAAACAGATTAGGACCCTGACCTCTAGGGTCAAGGGCTAAGCAGTTTAAGCTGGTTAATACTATGGATTTAGATGGAGACCATTGAGACACTCTAACTAACTTGGGATAAGCAGAACACTAGGTAAACAGAGAATTAAGACATCCTAAAAAACCCTAAACCTATCAATTAATTTAGGCTGTTAGGGCAGATTATCATAGCAATGAGACCCCAAGAGAAAGACTGGACATTCCCAAGTAAGGACCATCTAATTCTTTCTTTAGGCTTGATAGGCCTCACCACAATATGATACACTGAGGTTCGCTCATTCATTCATTCATTCAGTCAACATTTACGAAGCCCCTTCCCTGGACTAGGCGGCATGCTAAACCCTGGGAAAGAAGGACGCATGGGCACCCATGAGGGAGGTACACAGCAAGATACAGTTGACAAGTCATGGTCTTTAGAGATACACCTGGGTTCATACTCCACCTCTGTTCTCTTCTGGCTGTGGACATAACTCCACTCTCTGAGCTTTGGTGTTGAACATTGGATATAACCCAGTGGTTAAAGGCAGGTTAAATCCCGGTTCCTTCACAACCATTAGCTGTGTGACCCTGAGCAAGTGACTTTGCCTCTCTGAACCTCAGCTTCCTAATCTGTGCGCTAGTTTACTTCAGGGACAGGATCTAGGCAAAGCTGCCCAGCACACCGTAGGCCTCAGTGGATGGCTGCAATTCTTTATTACGATGATGGAGACAGTTTAGGAGAGCTGTCTGCGGAAAGACCCCAAATCTATTAGGCATGTTTTATCTTTGCTCTCCCAGGGTCTTGAATAAACAACGTCTTCATCCAGTTTTTAAAAGACACTCTAATTCTGTCTCAGAATATACTGCCACCCCCGCCCCCCCACCCCTTACCTCACCCCCAGCTGAAATTTGGCCGGCTCAGTGCCTGGCTGCTGGCCTGAATTTCCAAACACTGTTGGTTTAGCATTTCTCAAATGTATCCCATTAACACTATGAACCTGTCAGCCTTCTCTCCTCTTTGAGCTCAAGTCCGACCATCACGGCGAGAGACAGAGCCAGTAGCATGAGCCCAGCCTCCTAGACTCGCCTTTGTGAAGCAGTGCAGTTCCCGGGTCGGTCGGCCTGGGACTGGGGGCACCTGTCAGCATTTGCATGAAGAGTGTACCCTAGTCAGACGCACATACAAGCGGTGTGCTCGGAGACTGCGAGAAGGCGCGTTGGAATGAGGGGCTCTGGGAAATGCAAGCAAAATACATTCTCTGGGTTGGCACTGGAGGGGAAAAAACAAGACCTTGAAGGAGGCTTAGCAAAAAGCCACTGCTCTGGGAAATCAGGAAATAGCTCTGCCCTGGCACAGTCTCCAACTCACTCTGTGTGTCACTGAGCACGCTACTTGCCCTCTCTGTGGCACGTTTATTTTAAAATGAATGGGTTAGGCTAGCCCACGTGTTTTTAAACTCTTGTCTGGCAGTGGAACTCTTTTCTGGAAACATTTTTACTTGGAATTTTAAGATATAAACAGATGAAAGTGTTTATAACTAATTCTCTGGGTTAAAGAGATGGGGGTGGGGAGAGGAGAGCTGGAATTCTGATCACTCAGCACCCCGTACCCCCAAAAAGCTCAAAGAAACTAGGAGGCGCCTCTGTGGAACAGGGTTCGAGAACCACATGACATGATGGATGATCTGTAGAATTCCCCCCTGCCCTGGCAGCCTTGGATCCTGGTAGCCTGCTGATAACAGCAATGGCTATTATTTATTGAGTACGTTCTTTGTGCAAGGGACTGGACTTTACTTCTGTGTCTTTTACTTCAAGAGTTAGTAGACAGCTCTGATTCAGACCCCAGCTTCACCAACTGAGCAGCTGTCTGACCTTGGACGAGTTATTCGGTTGGTGCAAACGTAATTGCGCTTTTGCCATTGAAAGTAATGGCAAAAATCACAATTATGTTTGCACCAACTGAATAGCTAACCTCTCAGTGCCTCAGATTCTTCATCTGGAAAATAGGTCGTTCAGAGGATTCAAGGAATTAATCTCTCTAAATGTGCTTAGAACAGTGGCAGGTACATAGTAAACAATTGATGCTAGCCATTTTTATCATGGCTGCCTAGATTTTATCTAACCTTTATAAGCACCATTCTATTTCACAGGTGAGGAAGCTGAGGCTCAGAGGTGAAGTGAGTGACCTTAGATCACACAGCTAGTAAGTGATGGAGGGAGAACCTGAATCCAGGTCAGCTTAACTGCATGGCTTGTGGTCTTAACACCCTGCCTAAACTGCTTTGCTCTTGACCCAAGAAGTCACACACAGACATAGGGTCATAGCAATTTGCACGAGGAGTTCCAAGTCTAGATAGAAGAGTTGCTAATGATGACTATAGTGATTTATGCTTATAGGAGCTCTGGTGTCAGCAGTCTGGGGTCTGGGCATCTTTGCAAATTCAGATCCCACACAGAAAGGAGGTATTTGGTTAACAGAGCCCAGGGATATCCAATGTTCTTTCCTGCAAGCCACGTTCTCCAGCCTTTCCTACTGACCTATAAGACATCTGTGCAAATTAGAAAAAGGGCAGGGGCAGCCCCAAGCTAGAGCACAGGTAAGCAGACATCAGGCTGATTTTCAATCCCCACTTGGAGGACACCGTATGCCTTTGCGTGGTGCACAAGCTGTGCAACCTTATCCAGCCATCTTGACTCTTCTCCTGCCTCAGTGTTTGGTGGAGAGAGAATAAACATGGCCAGATGGGAGACAAAGAATGGTCTCAACCTTGCCCTGATGCCTGTGGGGGCCTGGGATGGGAGGGGGGCAGCAGGAGCATGGAGGCAGCGCAGGCAGGAAGCAAATGCAAGCCACACAGTCACTTTATCTCTTTATGTTTCTTTCTCTCAGCTCCGAGGGTGGTAATAAAAGATGGCTGCACGGCTCTCCCCGGGAAACTGAACGGGAGCCAAACCATCATGTGGTGAACAAATGCTGTGATCGCTCAACTGCAGAGCTGCTGCTGCACCGTATTAAAAAGGTGACAGCCTCTCCTCTGACCCTTGAACCATGGAAATGGGCAGCCACCAGCCCACCCACTCAGAAAGCCCCAATGCTCTGTCACCAGCAGAGGCCCAACACCCACTCCGACGTCAGAAAAAGAAGGTGGCATGGTGTAGTTGTCAGAACATGGACTTTAAATTCAGACAGAGCTGGACTCAAATATCAACTCCACCCTCATAAGCTGTCGAACTTTGGGCAAGACACTGAACCTCTCTGAGCCTTGATCTCACATTTATAAGATGTAGCTTATCGTACGCATCAAGAAGGGAGAATGTAAGAATTTAGAAATAATACATGCAAAGTGCCCAGCACAGTTCCCCGACACAAAGCAAGTGCTTAATACATGGGAGCTATACATATAGTTCCTCCACTGACTCAGTAAAGACTGATAGTTGCCCGCAGAGCTTTGGGCACGATGGAGGTCAATATGAGAGGGCATCAGTGGTTTCTCTGAGGAGTGACATTTGAGCTGAGGAAAGGATGAGCAGAAGGTTTTTTTGGTGAAATAAGAAGGGAAGAGCTTCTCAGGCAGAGGAAACAGAATACGTGGGGCCTGGGATAGGAAAGAAGAGATGAAGATTGAAGAGCTGAGAAAAATGTGGCTGAAACTGAGACAACAATTAAAGTTTTAAAGCACTCACTCTTGGCTGGGCACGGTGGCTCACACCTGTAATCCCAGCACTTTGAGAGGTCGAGGTGGGAGGGTAAGTTGAAGCCAGGAGTTTGAGACAAGCCTGCGCAACATAGTGAGACCCCCCCATCTCTACTAAAAATAATAATAAATTAGCCAGGGGTGGTGGCATGCACCTGTAGGCCTAGCTACTCGGGAGGCTGAGGCATGAGGATCACTTTAGCTCAGGAGATTGAGGCTGCAGTGAGCTATGATTGTACCACTACATTCTAGACTGGGCAAAACAGCAAGACCTTTTCTCTAAAAAAAAAAAGTCTCACTCTAACAAGGCTACATACTGAATAATTCCAACAACATGACATCTAGCAAAGGCAAAACTAGACGAAGTTTGTGAAAAGATCAGTGGTTGCCAAGGTTTGGGTGGAAGGAGTGATAAACAGGTGGAATGCGGGATGTTTAGGGGAGAGAAATTATTCTATACGATACCGCAATGGTAGATACATGTCACACATTTGCCAAAGCCCATAGACTAAATAACACTAAGAATGAGCCCCAGTGTCAACTAGGGACTTTGGACGACGATGGTGTGTAGATGAGGTTCGATTATAAAAACTATACCCCTCTGGTACAGGATAGTGAGGGAGGGAAGCTTTGCACGTGTAGGGGCAGAGGCCTATGCAAACTGTACTTTCTGTACAATTTTGCCATGAACTGAAAACTGCTCTAAGATGTAAACTCTATTAATTTTTTTTTTTTTTTGAGATGGAGTCTCGCTCTGTCGCCCAGGCTGGACTGCAGTGGCACAATCTCAGCTCACTGCAAGCTCCAGCTCCCAGGTTCACACCATTCATTCCCACTCCTCCAGAGTAGCTGGGACTACAGGCACCCACCACCATACCCAGCTAATTTTTTGTATTTTTAGTAGAGATGGGGTTTCACCATGTTAGCTAGGATGGTCTCGATCTCCTGACCTCGTGATCCGCCCACCTCGGCCTCCCAAAGTGCTGGGATTACAGGCATGAGCCACCCCGCACAGCCAAGTCTATTATTTTTTTTTTTTTAAAGAAAAAAACAGAAAAACTCTCTGGCTCCTGTGTAGAGAAGAGATTGGGGGCAGGCAGAGGAGAATGTGGGCCAGTTAGGTTTTTCTATTTTCTTGCTGGGCTCTTAGGGGCAAGTTATAGAAGCTCTGAGAGCTTCAGTTTCTTCATCTGTGATATGGGGACAAGAATATAAAGTGACACAGTGTGTGGGGAAATGCCTCACAGAAAGCCTGGCACAGGGCAGGCGTTCAATTCATGCTGCCGGAGTGGGGAAGAATGACAATGCGAAGAGCCGCAAAAGGTGTCAGGACACAAGAGCTCTTTGTGCAGGCACAGTGGGCATCCTGTGGTGCCGTTTTGTGGCAGGTCTCACTGTTTATTGGCAGGAACAAATAAAAATAGCAAAAGTCTCACTCTTTAACGGGAGAGGCAAAACAAGCGTATGTTCCAAGCATAAAGTTGTGTTTTGTGCTTTGATGAAAATCGACAATAATCGTAGCTAAGATTTATTGGGTGCTGACTATATGGCATTGTTGCAAGGCATGTTTGTAAGCGTTTAATGTGAATTAGCTCATTTCACTCTCCCAACCATAACTTAGGTTAGTTTCTATTATTATCTCCATTTTGTGTTTGGGGAAACTGGGGCACAGCAAGATTCGTTAACTTGTCCAATGTAAGTGACAGCGCTGGCTTAAGAGAGAATCAAAAGATACAAACCTGAGCTAACAGAGGAAATGGGATGAGCATGCTTAGAACAGTTTTGAAATAGACAAAAAAGACGAGTCATAGTCATACTCAATCATGTAGAAAGCAGCATGGTGTAGAAGTTAAGAGCATGGATTTAGAATAAGCCAGCCTGGATTTAAATTCTGGCTTCTCCACTTTTGGGGTAACCTCAGGCAAGTTATTTGGCTACTCTGTGACTCAGTTTCCCCATCTGTAATATGGGGATAGTAACAGGCCCTATCATGTGGAGTTTTTTTTTTTTTTTTTGAGACGGAGTCTCGCTCTGTTGCCCAGGCTGGAGTGCAGTGGCACAATCTCGGCTCACTGCCAGCTCTGCCTCCCAGGTTCGTGCCATTCTCCTGCCTCAGCCTCCCGAGTAGCTGGGACTACAGGCGCCCGCCACCATGCCCGGCTAATTTTTTTTTTTGTATTTTTAGTAGAGACAGGGTTTCACCGTGTTAGCCATGAGGGTCTCAATCTCCTGACCTTGTGATCCGCCCGCCTCGGCCTCCCAAAGTGCTGGAATTACAGACGTGAACCACCATGCCTGGCCCATGTGGAGTTGTTTTGAGGATTAAGTTGGAAAATGCATGGAAGCTCACTAGCTTATCACATTATATGGCAAATAGTAAGAACTTGATACATGTTTGAAAACAAAGGAAGGCTATAGAGATTTCTAAAAGAGTAAATTTGGAGCTTCAAGCAAGGAGTGGGGCTCAAACTAAGGCTCAACAGTTCTCATATAACCAGGTGCTGCAGCTGGTGGCTGCAAATATGAAAGCAACTTGACCTCTGCCTTCAGGGACCGGACAGTCTGGTGGGGAAGGCAGGCTCAAGTGCAAGTTATTTTTTTAAAAGCAGGCTATAAGAATTATTCATTCAATGAGAACACATGGACACAGGGAGAGGAACATCACACGCTGAGGCCTGCTGCAGGGTGGAGGTCTGGGAGAAGGATAGCATTAGGAGAAATACCTAATGTAGATGATGGGTTGATGGGTGCAGCAAACCACCATGGCACATGTATACCTATGTAACAGACCTGCACCTTCTGTACATGTACCCCAGAACTTAAAGTATAATAATAATAAAAAAAGAATTATTCATTCAACCAAAATAGTGCCATTCATTCTAAGTACTAGGGATGGAGTGAATTATTTACAAAACAGATAAAATTCCTGCCCTCAAGGGGCTTATATTCTGGTGCCAGAGGTTGGGTAAGGAACATATAAGCAAGCATAGCAGTAGCAATGAGGGCTGTTAAAAAATAAAGCAGGATGACGGTATAGAGATCCACCTGTGTTATTCTGGGTAGGATGGTCAGAGAAGGAAGTGGTAATATTTGAGCAAGGCCGAAATGTAGTGAAGGGGAGAGCCATGTTAATATCTAGGGGAAAAGCTTTCCAGTTGAGGGAATAGCAAGTGCAAAGGCCCTGAGGAGAGAATATGCTTGACCTACACAGAACAGCAAAGGATGGAAGTACCATTGTGGGTAAGGGGCAGGAGGGTGGAGAGGCAGCAGCAGAAGCCTAGATCATATGAGGTTTTGCAAACCATAGTCAGGATTGTGAATTTCATTCTAACAGGGATGGGAAGCCCTTGTAGAGTTTTAAACATGCATTTGGCATCTGATTTAGTTTCAGAAGAATCACTCTGGCTGCTGTGTAGAGAACAGATTGAAGGGGGAAATGGTGGATTAGCATGTCTTCAAATTCTCTGGCCCTCCTTCCACTGAGAGGTGGGGTGTCCTTAAACCTAGGTTTCCCCTGTGCCTGTCTTTGACCACTAGAATGAGGGAGAAGTTGTGCTGTGTAACTTCTGATGCTAGTCCTTAAGATACCTGCAGCTTCTGCCCCTCTTGTAATGTGCCCTCTTGAAAACCAGCTACCACATGAGAAATCTGACTATGCTGAGACCACATGGCTGTGAGGAAGCTCAATAGCCACGTGAAGGAGCACCAAGGCAACAGACTGAATGTGAAGTTTACTTGGACCTTCCAGCCCAGCCAAGCCACAAGCTGAATGCAGTCAAGTGAGTCATCCCAGGCAACACTGCATGGAGCAGAAGAACCACCCAGCTAAGCCCTGCCCAAATTCCTGGCCCACAGATTGAAAGCAAATAAAATGGTTGTGGGTTTACAACACAAAGATTTGGGGTAGTTTGTTCCACAAAAAAACTTTATACAAATCTCCACTTTATAAATGAGGATACAGATCCAGAAAGGAAATAATTACTGTCGGTAAGTGGTTGAGCTAGACTTTGAACTTATAACTTCTCTAGGCAAGTTCAATTTTTTTTCTTGGTTTATGACTGTTGCTAAAATTTCCACATTTATTTTAAAACCACATAGAACAAAATAAAATCATACAACATGTTATTCTGTGTTTTAGTTGCCTGCATGCTGCTATTTTTCCCAGGCTAGCTGTGCAATGGCTTTTAAAGTGGGGTCTGTAGACCCCTGGTGCTAGAGTCACTTAGGCGAAGCTTGAAAACATGCAAACTCCTGGGTCTCACCCAGGAATCTGACTTTCTGGTACCAGGGCACAAGCATTTGCATTTTAATAAGTAGGGTAGAGGTTTCCTAAATTATTCACATCACGAAAGGTTTGAATGTCAATAAACTAGTGGATCAACAAGCCCTCAGGAAGCAGATGGACATTTTAAATGAAGATAGAGAGTTTGCAAACAGTAAATGCAAACTGTAAATGGAGCACTCCATCCCTGTTGTGGGGCTCTCCTCACTACACTGTGTTGCCTGGGTGAGGAGGGGGCCCTAAGATGGTCTCCCCCCAACTCTTCTCCCCATGAGGCTCATCTCAGGGAGCAGGGAAGGGTGTACAAGACTAGTTGTGGGGTATGAGATGAAGCAGGGGTAGAGGGAACATTCAGAGAGCATTCACTATATTTCAGGCACTAACAATTGAAAGACTTCCTCATTTAGTCCTCAAAAAGAGGCATTATTTCCATTTTACAGTTAAGGAACCTGGGAGTCAGAGGTAAGATTACTTGTACAAAGCCATACAAACAGCAAACGGGAAGTCAAGATTTGAACCCAGGACTGCCAGACACCAATGCTAGTGTTTTTTTCCAATATTAAGCTGTGTCAACCAGGTGGAAGGATCGTGTGATATGAAATCATATCAGAACTGGAGACCTACTCCTCCACCTGTCAGCTATGTGGCCTCGGAAAAACGTCATTTCACTTCTTTCAAAGGGAGGATGAAATGTCCTACCACTGAGAAGTACTGGGTACCCAACAGCCTTTTAGTAAAAGGTGATTGCTTCTGAATGAGAAGACGCCAGGATGCCAAGGCCAAAAGTCTGAAGTGGCCACCGGGCAATTTCTCCCACAGTGGCATATGTCAGGGCAGGACAGGTTCTTGGGGGGTGGTGGAGTGGGACCCAGAGCTGGAGTCATTCCGGGTGTGGCTCCAGCACATGGGAAAGTGCACAGGGTCAGCGGGGCGCAGCCAGCGGCCTCACAGTCTTTCCCATCCCCAGTTTCTGTGCTTCTGGGAATCAGGAGCCACACTGTTTTTCTCTGTCGGACCCGAGCTCTCTCTCCCAGGGGAGTTGGCAGATCTGCCGCTGGCCTGTTGGCTGGAGGTGCACAGCAGCGGAGCCTGGCATCGCTTTACAGGCTCACACTGCCTCTTTCTTGTGCTGCTCTCTTCCCGTTCCCACGCCCCACCTCTGCAAGTCCCCAGGGATCCTGCTTTCTCCGGCAGTGGCAAGGGCAGAGGCCCTGGGTGAAGAGATTAGATGGGGGCTTCCCCCTCCAAGGCTGCTCTGCTGGGCCCCTGGACGACCCTAAGTGCCTGACCTTGCAGACCACATCCCCGCCTGGGGACACAAGGCTGTGGGTGGTGGGCTGTCAGGAAGTCTGTGCCTGGTGCAAGCCAAGGCCTGACTCCCCTCAGCCGTGAGCTTTTCACTTTGCAGAGTTGTAGGATTCTTATTCATGCAAAGAGTCGGCTGGTCATGAATGCCTTCAGCAAAGATTTAGGCATTGTGCCAGGTGCTGGGGCCACAATTCGGAAAAACAGCTTAACTTGATCCTCAAGGAAGGTTCAGTCCAGGGGGAGACGGGGGAAGTAAATAATAATTACCCTCCTGAATCAGTTATAGTACAGGAAGAGCAGTAAGACCAGAACACATAGCTGTTGGTGAAGGGCTGGTGCATTCCTTCATTCAATGAACAAATAGTTATTGAGAACCTGATATGTGATATGGGAATATAGTGGGAACAAAGCAATCTTTCTGGCTATCTAGACCTTCTGTTCTAGAAAAGAAACAACAAAATAAATTATACAATAGCATATCTTATATCTCTATATTATTTAATATTATATGTCTCTGTATTAGCGATCTAGCTAGAATCGCTTCAGGCAGTGATAAATGTTTGAAGGAAAAAAAATGCATAGTTGGGCCTAGAGAGTGCGGACAGCACGGTCTGGCAGGGTCTCCCTGAGGAGGCGACATGAGATCAGAAACTCAGTAGGAGGTGCATGGGTAAGAGTGGTCACATCTGCAGAAATGTTTCAGGAAGAAGGAGAACTAGCAAGCGCCGAGCTAGTAACACAGACACCATGGACATGCTTTACACATACCACATCTATGAAGTGAGGACTCTGTCCCCACTTCAGGTGGGGAGGCCAAGAGCTAGAAATAGGGAGTGACTGATCGAAGGCCTTGCAGCTTGGAGAAGGCAGAGCCGGGATCCAGCCCAGGCGGTCTGCTTTGCCTACACAGGTGGCCTCTGTGCCATGAAGCCAGGCCGCCTACCTGGGCTAGTCCTAGATGCTTTGTGAGCTCGGAGGTGGGCACCAAATTCAACTTCAGGGAGGGAGAGAAGCGGGCACAGAAGCACAATCTTGATGGATGAGAGCAAGGTACATGCCAAGCCAAGGAAGTCTCTGCCTTTCTCCTTCCCCTCATTTGGCCCCCAAGCTGCCACTTACCTGTGTGCATGTCCACCCAAAGTTGAGAGAGAGGGAAGCTCCACCCTCCATACACACGGGGCTCGCTCTGCTCACTCTGTTTTCCTCTCCACTCAAGTCACCTCCTCAGGAGGCCTTCCCTGCTTCCCACACCTCAAATACCAACTTCTCTGTTGCTTTTGCTTCACCTGTTTCTCATGACCTGCCCTTAGCCCACATATCTGCTTACTTATTGATTGTTTTCTGCAACTCTAGTATCAGCTCCACAGGAGCTACTGTCTATTTCATTCACCACTGTACCCTCTGTGTCTGGCACATAATGAATGAAAGGAAGGAAAGGAGGAAGCAGCTTAATGCATACAGAGACATTTAGAAGAGGTGAAGGGAACACTTTTCCAAACACACACACAGGTACCTGGGAGTGAGTGCAGGAACTGTGTTCTATGTAATGTTTGCTGGAGCCTGGCACTCGAAATTTGCCTCTAATAAATTCTGTTGAATGAATGGATATCTGGAATTTGAAATTAAAAGTTCAGGAAGCCCAGAAGAATCTGGGCAATTATGTATGAAATAAGGAGTAAAGAAATGTTATTATAAAAATTAAGTTTCTTGATGGGATGTTAGAGAAGTCCCAGGATAGAGATTCAGGAGTCAAGGGCTCATTGTGGCTCAGGGGCTGATACGCTGGGAGGATTTGGAAAAGCCACCCTTCTCTCTTCCCTAAGTCACAGTTTGCCCATCTGTAAAATGGGGACACATAGAAAAGTCTAAGGGGCTCTTCTGACTCTGGAACTCTAAGATTTTATAGACCATCCCCTCCTCTGGGACAAGCCCATGCATCTCCCTCTTGCCCCAAACATCCTCCCTACAAACAGTAAGCCTGGGTGGGAGCTGGGGAGGGGGAGGATCTGAGAGACTCTGATGCCTTTCGTCAAGGTCTTGCATTACTGATGCTTCCTGGCTCCTGCTCTTCAGCCCTCTCTGAGGTCTGACCTTCTAATGAGCGGATGCACATTATCAGCCGCTGCGGTTTGAACGGGTGCCTATAATTTAGTGTTGCCTAATGCTGGAAACTGAGAGCAGAACTTGCGTAATTAGATTGGGGTCTCATTAACGTCTGCCTCCTCGGGTGTTTTTCATTCTTGGTTTCTCCTGCCCTGTATTTGCAATCCCTTCTGTCTGTATAAACATGGCTGTCCCTTTTTATCTCTCCCTTGTGGGGCCAGGCTAGAATTTGGGTCCAGAACAGCGAAGGCACTCACAAAGCATGAATTTTAACATGCCCCGGGATGGCCCCTGCTCTGCTTTCTAAATAGAGAACCTGGATGTCTGGGTTGCGCTTAAGCACCTCGAGCTGGCTGGCTGGCCACCCTGGGTTTGGGTTTGGACAAAAACCAGAGGAAGGAGGGCTATCAAGACAGCTGCTGCAAATACTGGTGATTTAACCAACTTGTGTACAATGCTTGGCCATTTACAAAGCACTCCTAGAATCTGACCTTGTAAGCAGGGACCTGGTCTATTTTGTCCACTGGTCCCCTAAGAGTTATTCTCTTTTTGTGCCCTCCTGACCCCATTCTATGCTTTTTCCACTCTTCTCTGCCCTGCTCTGAGCTACAGGAGATGGGTCCCTGTTGGCAGCATCAACTCAGCTCCCTTGCTGAAAGGTTTCTGCTTGCCTTTGGCCAAAGTGAGGCCCCAGCAGGAGACTGGAAGGCAGAGGGAGAGAAGGGGGTGGTACTTCTCTCTAGTGCCCACTGTGCTTTAGTGCCATGACTTTGAAGGTAGCTGAGTTCCTCCCCAGTTATAGCTTCAATGGACCAGCTCTCCTGCTCAAGTCTAGATTAAACCTACTAGATTTAGTCTAGAAATTCTATTCTCTCCTTTTGTCCCTTCACCCCTAGGGATAATGGTTTCCTTCTGTTGTCAGATTCTAAATACCTCACGTTCCCTTAGCCCCTCACACTCCTCCATAAGTTGCCCCTTCCTTAAAGTCTCTTTATTTAGACCATTTAGGGGTGAATTCTGTCTTTTGCCTGGTCCCTGTCTGATACAATACCCAATGTCTGAAGTGGTCCCTGGAACATAGTAGGTCCTTAATAAATGTTTGTGGAATGAATGCACAAACTTTTCATAGATGACATCTCATGTCATCCTTACAAAAACTATGCAAAATAATATTATTACCTTTTACAGATTAAAAAACACTGAAGCTCAGAGAGGTAAATTCTCATACCTGAGCAACAGATTTTTAAGGGAGGGCAACACTCCCATACTGTACCCTGAATGAGCTGTAGCTTCACTCTGCACCCTGGAGAAATCTCTACATACTGCTGCTTTCTGTACAGAGACTGAGTGTCCACTCACGCCAGCCTGGTGTGGGCTCAACAGGACCAGAGGCTGGTGGAGTGGACAAAGATTCGAAGACACTTGGAAATTCACTCGGTATAGAATCAGAGACCTGGGTTCAAATCCAAGTGGTGCTACTTTCTAAAAGTGTGATCTGGGGCAATGAAATCAATGACAATGATTTAACTGTCCCAGTTGTGACTCAGTTTCTTCCTCTCTAAATGGGGCTATAATAATTATTATTACACACTTAATTTAGTGATTATCCTGATCCAGGCATTGTGTTTAGCATTTCACATTATACTAACTCATGTAATCCTCACTGCAACCCTATGAGGAGGTATTGTTATTATTATTATTAGGAGGAGGAGGGGGAGTATTACAGATAAGTTACTGCCCACGGTCACACAGCTGCTGTCACCGTGGCAAATCTGGGATGTCCACCAAGGCAGCCTGCAGCCTGCTCCAGAACTGTGTTCTTAACCTTCAGGCTATACTGGCTGTCTACATTATTATTAGGCCATTTCATGAGTTCGTAACAACTAGGTAAGAAGACCATCTATGATGGGCACTTAGCACAGCCCTGGTGCACAAGGTGCCATCAATAGTGGTGACTGACTTTTCCTTGTTCCCCACCTAAAAGTCAGATGCATGGATCCTCTCCATATTTTTCTTCCATGTCGTTGTTCGATTGTACTCTTGCATGGCATTCATAGTAGGAGACATATGGCTTCTTTAAGCAGCTCTGCCCCTTGCCACACACAGGCCTTGGAGCCAGACTGCCTTGGGCTTGAATCCTAGCTTTGCCACTTATTGGCTGGAGAACTGGATGTCATTACCCCATCCATTGGTGTTTCAGCCTTTTTATCTATAAAATGGTGATTTTAATAGCACACACCCTATAGGGTTGTCGAAAGGATGAAATGAGTTAATTCATGTTAAGTGCTTGGAGCAGTGCCTAGCACGTAGGAAATGCTATAAAAGTGTTTGCTAAATAAATAAAAGTTCATGAATTTTGTATGTGCAATTCAAGCTGGCTTAAACAAAAAGGGATTTTTTTTGGCTCAACTAAGTCCGGATCCAGAGCCTTGAATAACATCATCAGGGCATCGTCTCTCTGCTTGGCTGTGTGTTCCTTTACCTTGGCTTCATTCTTGGCAGATTGTTCACTCAAGGAGAGAGATGGCCACCAGCAGCTCCAGACATACATCCCATCCGCTCTGTGGTCCCAGCAGAAAACATGTGCCTTTCATCCAAGAGTTCTGGCACTGGCCTGGCTTGGGTCCCAGTGAGATATTCCAATTGACTGGGGCTAGTCATGTGCCATCAGCTGCACACACCACACAGACTGCAAGTTGGGGAGGGGGTCACCTCAATGGAATCCTAGGTGCTGTTTGCCAAAGCAGAAGGAATGGAAGCTGGAGAAAGCCAGCAATGATCTTCTCTGCCATCCATCCTGGTCACCTATATTAGTCAGGGTTCTCCAGAGAAACAGAACTAACAGGATATATCAAAGAGGAGATTTATTATGGGGATTGGCTCACATGATTACAGAGGCTGACAAGTTCCACAAGATGCTGGCTGTGAGCTGGAGAACCAGGAAAGCTCATAGTGTGATTTGGTCTGAGTTTGAAGGCTTGAGAACCAGGAGTGTCAACCGTATAATTTCCCAGTCTATGGCTGGAGTCTTGAGAATTGGGTGGCTGCTGGCATCAGTCTTGAAGTCTGAAGGCCTAAGAACCAGGAGCGTTGATGTCCAAGGGCAGGAGAAGACAGGTGTCCCAGGTCAAGAGAGAGAGATTTAGCTCTTCCTCTGTCTTTTTGTTCTAGTGGGACCCCCAGCGGATTGGATGCTGTCTGACCACACGGTGAGGGAAGATCTTCCTTGATGAGCCTACTGATTCCAACGCTCTTCCAGAAATACCCTCACAGACGCAACAAGAAATAAAGTTTTACCAGCCCTCTGGGTAAATTAACCATCACATCACCATTCCTGAAGTTGCTCCTTGTGAGCAAGACTTCGGGAGATCTAGACCTTGGTCACAATGCATACTGGAAGTGCTTACAGGCAATTTCAATACAACGTCTACATGTCTTTGAAAGAATACACAGCAAGTCAAGAGCACTGTTTAACATTCCTATTTTGGGAGACCATAGCTAGGACTTGTTATGGCCCTATATGCCTGTGGAAGATTCCACTGTTTTTATTTATTTGTTTATTAAACTTTTATTTTAGGTTCAGGGTTACATGTGCAGGTTTGTTATACCAGTAAACTTGTGTCATAGGGGTTTGCTGTACAGATTATTTTGTCACCCAGATACAAAGCCTAGTACTCAATAGTTATTTTTTCTGATCCTCTCCCTCCTCCCACCCTTCACCCTCAAGTAGGCCTCAGTATCTGTTGTTCTCTTTGTGTCCATGAGTTCTCATCATTTAGCTCCCACTTATAAATGAGAACATGTGGTATTTGGTTTTCTGTTCCTGTGTTAGTTTGCTAAGGTAATGGCCTCCAGCTCCATCCATGCTCCCACAAAAGACATGATCTCCTTCTTTTTTATGGCTGGATAGTATTCCATGTATATGTACCACATTTTCTTTATCCAGTCTACCACTGATGGGAATTTAGGTTGATTTCACGTCTTTGCTATTGTGACTAGTGCTGCAATGAACATTTGCATGCATGTGTCTTTATGGTAGAATGATTTATATTTCTTTGGGTATATACTCGGTAATGGGATTGCTGGATCAAATGGTACTTTGGAAGATTCTACTGATTCCCCCCACTGAAGGACACACTGAGTCACAGGCTACTTAGTGTGTGTGCACATTCTCATGGGTCTGACATCCTGTAACAAATCTTGCTAAAGTGAGCTACCTGGCTGAGATTGTAAGCACCATCCTGGGCATGAGACAGAATAAATCTCAACAGCCATATGGGTCCCTGAACCCAGGCCTTTAGCTATACTGGCACTGTCTTCACAGCCCTGGCTACTCAAAATGTGATCTTCCAACAGCAGCATCAGCAGCATCCAGGAGCTTGTTCACATCCTTGCTGCTCAAACTGAACCTGCAAGACCAGATGCACTGGCTTCATCTGGGAGCTCAAAGAAAACTCAAAATCTCAGGCCATACCTGAAGACATAATGGATGAAGATCTGCATTTTAACATGAGATCTCCCAGAGGTGTGTAAACACATTAAATTTCAAGAGGCACTGCTATATTCATTTTCTAGGGCTGCTGTAGCAAGGGACCACAAACTTAATGACTTTAAACAAGAGAAATTTATTCTCTCATGGTTCTAGAGGCTAGAAGTCCAAAATCAAGGTGTTGGCAGGCTGGGCTTGGTGGCTTATGCCTGTAATCCCAGCACGTTAGGAGGCCAAGGTGGGAGGATCGCTTGAGCTCAGGAGTTCGATACCAGCTTGGGCAACAGAGCAAGACCCCATCTCCACCAAAAATTTAAAACTTAGGCAGGCATGGTGGCATGTGCCTGTAGTCCCAGCTATTCAGGAGGCTGAGGTGGGTGGACCGCTTGAGCCCAGGAGGTTGAGGCTGCAGTGAGCAGTGATCGCATCACTGTACCCCAGCCTGGGTGACAGAGAGAGACCCTGTCTCAAGGAAAAAAAAAAGCTATTGGCAGAGTTGGTTTTCTTTCTGAGGGTTTGGCAGGAGATGCCTGTCTCCTAGCTTCTGATGATTGTCAGCAATTCTTGGTTTGTCAATGTATCTCCCCAGTCTCTGCTTCCAACATCACAGGGTGTTTTCCCGTGTCTAAATTTCCCTCTTCTTATAAGGACACCAGTCATATTGGATTAAGGGCTCACACTACTCCAGTATAACTGCACCTTAATCATCACATCTGCAACAATGCTATTTCTAAGTAAGGTCACGTTCTGAGGTACTACGAGTTGAGACTTCATCTTTTTCCAGGGGAGCATAATTCATCTCATAACAACTGCCTTCAAAGTCTGCCATTCCTGAATGCTGGAAGAACTGCCAATTAGCAAATACCTGGAACATTTCTGTAACTTTATTTTTGTAAACAATGTTGTAAATTCAGGAAGAATATGGCAGGTCTAGAATAAGACTTGAAGATGTCTATTTTTGCAAAGTGATTCTTGTGTTCAGGCAGCATACCTAGGAGTGTCCTCAGCTTTTCAGCCCGTCCTGCCTCAGTGCAGGGCCATGTTGAGAACAATCTGGGGATGTTTCCTACTTTGGCTGCCACTAGAATCACGAGGGGAGCTTTAAAAATATGAATACCTAAATCCCACCCTCAGAGATTCCAGTGCAATACGTCTGGGACACTGCTTGGGTATCAGGATTTTAAAATAATTCCTAGGTGATTCTAATCTGTAGCTAAATCTGAGGACCAATGGGATAGTTGTTCTTTTTTTTTTTTTTTTGTGGCAGGGTCTCAATCTGTCATCCAGGCTCACTGCAGTGGCTCACTGCAGCATCCGCTCCCAGGTTCAAGTGATTCTCATGCCTCAGCCACTCAAATAGCTGAGACTACAGGCGCACACCACCACACCTGGATAATTTTTGCATTTTTATTAGAGACAGGGTTTTGCCATATTGCCCAGGCTTGTCTCAAACTCCTGATCTCAAGCAATCTGCCCACCTTGGCCTCCCAAAGTGCTGGGATTACAGGCGTAAGCCATTGTGCCCAGCCGGGATAGATGTTCTTGTTTTTACCTGTTACAAATGAAGGAGATCCAGCCACCCTACCAAATAGGGAAGCAGACACGAGTACAAAAAATACCAAATATGAGCACAGATTCCTAAACAATAGCATTTTAGGCTTTTTATAGTACTTGTGTGCAAAATGAGGGTGCTATGAAGAAGTACATGAAAGTATATATTTAGCATTATTCTCCTAATCTCCAATAATCAGGAACTTCTTTATGTCTCCTTATAGTTTTGTCCATTTTTGAAGTATATCTTGAGGTATTTTTATATAGTGCTTATACATTTAAAATTATTTCTTCTAAGTAAATGAATCTTTATCATAATAAATTACTTCCTTTTCCCTAGTAATGCTTTTCACCTTCGAGTCTATTTTTTCCCCCAGACATTAATGCAGCTGCATCAGTGAGCTTTCTTTTGCTGCACAGTTGCATGGTATATTTTTCCCCTTTCTTTAACTTTCAAATTTTCTATATGCTTATATTTTAGATGAATGTCTTGAATGGAAAACATTTAGATTTTTTAAAAGTTACACTGATAACTCTTCTCTTTAATTAGTGCATTTAGTCCATTTACATTTAATGTAATTATTGGTATACATACACTGGTGACACAAATATTTAACAACTCCCAGAGTACTTTGTGGGGTTTGCAGTTCTCACAAATGACCATGAGAGGGCGAATCCAGAAGATGCACAGGCATTTATAGCCTTGAAGAGACAGGAGAAACCAAGCATTCACTCTCTGGGGTTCCACTACTACTTCTGAGGTTCTTCCCTACAATGTCTGGGCATCCTGTGGCCAGGGGAGAACAAGAATATGGGCTTGGGGACAGGAGTGTGGTGGACTGGGGGACACAGGAACAGTCTCATGGGGTTAAGGTGGCTGAAGTCACTCAGTAGGCTCAAGGCAATGGCTATTTACCTACCGGTATAGAAAAGTTTCAATATTTTAATAACCAGCACTGCTGTATAAGCAATTCAGAATGATATCAGATCAGACCTGCTGTTATATTGGGTGTAAATCAACCATTTACTTTGTGTTATTTACAACACCTGTTCTGTGTTGGTTTTTAAAGCCTGCTATTAATATATTTACTTTTTTTTTTTTTTTTTTGAGACAAGATGTTTCTCTGTCACCCAGGCTAAAGTGCAGTGGCGTGATCACAGCTCACTGCAGGTTTGACCTCCCCGGGCTCAATCAATTCTACCAATTCAGCCTCCCTGAGTAGCTGGGAGGATTTCTGCTATTTTTTTGTATTTTTCATAGAGATGGAGTTTCACCATGTTGCCCAGGCTGGTCTCAAACTCCTGAGTGCAGGCAATCCACCCACCTGGCCTCCCAAAGTGCTGGGATTTACAGGCGTGAGCCACCACACCTGGCCATGTTTACTTTCTTCCCTGACAATACAAGGGCCTCAGAATATCTTAATTCCATTTACCCTCAATCTCTACTAACTTAATGTTGTATATTTTAATCCTTCATATATTTTTAAATCCATAAAATTATTTTATTGTCTTTTGAAGACAATACCTATTAACACCACTTTCTTTGCCCTTCATATAATCTTGCAGCTCTACGTTAATCTGAGGTCATTTTATTTTTGCCTAAAGTACATACATACTTTACAGTTTCCCTTTGTGAAGGTCTGTAAATGTTTTTATTTTGCCATCATTCATAAAAGATGTTTCTCTGAGGATAGAATTATAGGTTGGCAATTAATTTCTCTCAGCACACTGAAGACATTTTTCCACCACTGTTCTCAGGAAGCTGCCAGTCTGTTACTTTAACAAAAGTACAGATGTTCCTTAACTTACAAAGGGGCTGCATCCCAATAAACCCATTGTAAACTGAAAATATCCTAAGTTGAAAATGCATTTATTGGCCGGGCGCAGTGGCTCACACCTGTAACCTCAGTACTTTGGGAGGCCAAAGTGGGAGGATCATGAGGTCAGGAGATGGAGAACATCCTGGCTAACACGGTGAAACCCCGTCTGTACTAAAAATACAAAAAATTAGCTGGGCATGGTGGTGGGCGCCTGTAGTCCCAGCTACTTGGGAGGCTGGGGCAGGTGAAGGGTGTGAACCTGGAAGGCAGAGCTTGCAGTGAACCGAGATCGCACCACTGCACTCCAGCCTGGGCGACAGAGCGAGACTCCGTCTCAAAAAAAAAAGAAAAAAAGAAAATGCATTTATTACCCCTAACCTACCAAACATCATCGCTTAGCCTAGCCTACCTTAGACATTATCAGAGCACTTACATTAGCCTACAGTTGGGCAAAATCTTTGAACAAAAAGTCTATTTTATAATAAAGTGTTGAAGATCTCATGCAATTTATTAATGCTCTGCTGAATGAGTGTCACTTTGCATCATCACAAAGTCAAAAAATCATAAGTCAAACCATTGTAAATTGGGGACCATCTGTAATCTGCCTTTTTTCCTCTGGCTTTTTCTTTCTAAATATCACTATTGAGTCTTGGTGTGGAATTATTTTTATTTATCCGCTTGAAATTTGCCAAGCTTCTGCTTTCGGTGGTTTGGTATCTTTCCAAAACAATCATTTCTTCAAATACTGTCTCTGCTCTATTCTCTTTTACCTCTCTCTTTTGAGATTCTGATTAAATGAATATTAGGCCCTCTCCTAGAATCTAACAGTCTTTCCTGCACCTCCGATCTTTTTCTCTCTGTGCTTCCTTCAGGATAATCTCTTCAGCTGTACCTTTCATTTCATAAACGCTTTTTCAGCCATGTCTAATGTGATGTTAAACACAATAATTTTGATTACTGTAGTTTTCATTTCCAGAAGTTGTGTTTAAAAAAAAAATGGTTGTATCGGCTGGTCGCGGTGGCTCACACCTGTAATTCCAACACTTTGGGAGGCCAAGGCCGGGGGATCTCCTCAGGTCAGGAGTTTGAGACCAGCCTGACCGACATGGCAAAACCCTGTTTCTACTAAAAATACAAAATTAGCCTGGTGTGGTGGTGCATGTCTGTAATCCCAGCTACCCGGGAGGCTGAGGCAGAAGAATTGCTTGAACCTGGGAGGCGGAGGTTGCAGTGAGCCAAGATCATGCCATTGCACTCCAGCCTGGGCAACAAGAGCGAAACTCCATCTCAAAACAAACAAACACAAAAACCTGGTTATATAACTTTTTTTAGTGTCCTTTTCTCCGCAGATATCTCCATACCTGATTTTTTTCAATTTGATATGTATAGTTTTTAAAAATAACCTGTGTGATAATTCTAATGTCTTCTGTCTTTGAGGTTCTGTCTCCATTGTCTATTGTTCCTGT
The DNA here is from genome assembly GCF_000001405.40 of Homo sapiens. Lineage (NCBI taxonomy): Eukaryota > Metazoa > Chordata > Mammalia > Primates > Hominidae > Homo > Homo sapiens. The sequence continues at coordinate 32,929,460 of NC_000022.11, forward strand.
TTCACCTGGTTATCTTTGACTACGTACTAGCTATTATACAAAAAAATTATTTGAAGGATCATTTGAAGCCTAGCTTGAAAGTGCCTTCCTTTACATAGGATTTGCTTTTATTTCTGGCATGTCTGGGATCACCATAAACCAAGTTCAATGCCTGAGGTTTCCTGGAGGGCTGGGGTATTCAAACTGCAATTCAAGCTGCAAGTACTTGTGAGGGCTCACCTACTTGTAATTCATGTTCACCTAGAAGCTGTAGTCCTTTGGGGAATCTCAGCTTATTGTGGAGAGGGTCTACTGTTACACTCCCTATTGTGAGTGGCCCTGAGTGTTGATTTCTGTCTCCCTTGCCTCCACTAAGCTCTCAAAACCAGTTGCAAATTTGGCTGATCTAGTGAATACTCTCAGGATACAGGTGGCTTTGTACTCATTTACCTGTCTGGGTTTTCATTTTCCCATCAGTCTCTTCCTGGTAATTCCTTACTGTCACACCAACTCTTAGAAGGCCTTTAAAGACTGTAATTATTTAGTATCAGTTTTTACGTTGTTTTCAGGGGAAAAGCTGGTCCAAATGACCTAGCCCACCGTTACTGGAAATAGGAAGCCAAATGTCTTTCATGGCATACAGTAGGCACTCAATAAAGAATGGCTGAATTAGTTGAATTATCATAATTTACCAAATGATATGGTTTGGCTGTGTCCCCACCCAAATCTTATCTTGAATTGTAGCTCCCACAATTCCCATGTGTCATGGGAGGGACCTGGTGGGAGGTAATTGAATCATGGGGGCGGGTCTTTCTCATGCTGTTCTCGTGTTAGTGAGTAAGTCTCAAGAGATCTAACGGTTTTATAAAGGGGAGTTTCCCTGCACAGGCTCTCGTTCTCTCTTGTCTGCCATCAGGTAAGATATGCCTTTCACCTTCCACCGTGATTGTGAGGCCTCCTCAGCCACGTGGAACTGTGAGTCCAGTAAGCCTCTTTTTCTTTATGAATTACCCGGTCTCGAGTATATGTCTTTATCAGCAGCATGAAAAAGGACTAATATACCAAACATGCACCTTTTTTTTTGGATCTGTCTTTATTTGCAGAGGCTGTTTCCTACTCTTAGGATATACTTCTCTTTCCCTACACCCAGCCTGAGAATGTCCACATTCTACCATTGGACCAGGCTCAGAACAAATGTTACCTTTTCCTCAAAGCTTTTCCTGTTTTCCCTCCTTCCCCAAATCTGAATCCTGTCTCTTCCTTCTCTAAACCCTCATGAGACCTAGTGTGTATCGTTCTCTGGGTACTTAACTAGATAGCAATGTATTCATACATGTGTTTATCTCGCCTATGGATTTATACATTCTTGTCATTTTTGGCTTCTGAAGAAACCCCTCACTTGCTCTCCAATTCAGCATAAATTACAAACAGATTTCTGAACATATTATATATCTAGTGCTTTTAGTTTTGGTCTACTTGGAGAAGATTCTATGAACACTTAGTCTGCCATATTGCAGGAAGTTGAATTTCATTTATTCTAATAAACCTTCCATTCGTACCGCACTTCAGAGTTAACAGGGTGCTGTCATACATGTGAGTTTCTGTAAACTTTAGCAGCCTCTAACTTCAGTGCATATCATCATGCTGCAGATGAGAAGTAGAGGACAAAAGGGACTAAATAATATGCCAGAGCAGAGCCTCAAAGCCAGAAATGGAACCCAAGTCTTTTCTCTCCAAGCCCAGGGCTCACTTGGGGACACCACAGGTGCTGCACGTATGATATGTGCCGCTGGTCATTACTACTGCAACCACACCTGGGAAGCAGACATTCTGTACAGGAAAGTACATGTGGCAAAGGAGTTAGGTCGCAGGAAGTGGACGGAGGGGTGGGCTACATGAGGTTCCACGTATGCAATTCTCAGAAGGTTCTGCATATTTTAATCCTACTTACCTCACCACTTTGGTCCCATTTCTCACGACCTGCATGTCCACCATGCAGCCCCCGGTCACATAGGCAGCTAGGTTCAACTCTGAGAATTCAGCCTGAAGAATAAAGCAAAGCAAAAAAGGATTCATCAAATACCAACGGTGGTAACAACGGTTAACACATATTGGGTACTTAGAGGTACAAAGTACACCTTTAAAGCTCCCCTCAAACTTAGGAAGTTGCCGATATTATTTTCATCTTTCTTTTTGAAAGATGAGGAAGCTGAGGCTCTAAGAGGCCTGGTGGCATGTCCAAGGCAGCACAATTAATACAAGGCCAAACTGGATTGAAGCCCATGTGTCTCTGATTCAAGGACCTATGCTTTTAATCCTTGCTAATTTCTGCCTCTTTGAAGGTGGAAGAGGCAATTCCAGCTCCAAGACCAGAACATGCCAGATGCTGTTTGATGGGACATTTTCTCTAGATTTTCTCACCTTCATGCTCTACAGTAGTATGGCATCATGACTCTGCAGATGCTGTTTGATGGGACATTTTCTCTAGATTTTCTCACCTTCATGCTCTACAGTAGTATGGCATCATGACTCTGCAGATGCTGTTTGATGGGACATTTTCTCTAGATTTTCTCACCTTCATGCTCTACAGTAGTATGGCATCATGACTCTGCAGATGCTGTTTGATGGGACATTTTCTCTAGATTTTCTCACCTTCATGCTCTACAGTAGTATGGCATCATGACTCTGCAGATGCTGTTTGATGGGACATTTTCTCTAGATTTTCTCACCTTCATGCTCTACAGTGGTATGGCATCATGACTCGGTGATTATTTCTCTCTATTAACGGACCCACCCCCCACCCTGGTCATATGCCCAGTTTTCTTCTCTTGGTAATGGCCCCTCCTCTTGCTCCATCCATCTGGTTACAGCAGCAGCACCATGTTTGTTCATTGACATACTGCCCTTTTGGTCACAGTTGATGGGGTAAGCATCTGACTCGGGGTGGAAGAATGAGATACTCTTCCCTGAGAGTTTGAAACTGATGAGTGAGTCATGCAGTTTCTTTCTAGGTGGTTGTATCTTTAATGCACAAACCATGTTTTCTGTCATCTGCACTGGCAAAGCACAGAAAACCAGGGTGGAGAGAGACAGAGAGAGGGAGGAATGTCACAGTCACCAAGAGAGGGGCAGGGGCAAGAGATGGGGATGTTTATGTGCCAGCTACAGACCTACCTTTGGATTTTGTGAGTTCATCTTTTGGGTTGCCTATTTGTTTAAATGAGCTTTCATGGATTTCTGTTGCTTACAACCAGAGTCCCATGGAATACATCCCTCTTACCAGATGACATGCTCCCTGGGATTTCTCACTATAACCACCTGTCTTAGTCTCCCAAGGCTGCTGTAATAGGTGGCTTAAACAGCATAAATTCATTCTCCACAGTTTTGGAGGCTAGAAGTCCAAAATCAAGGTGCTGGTAGGGCTGGTTCCTGCTGAGGGCTATAAGGGAAGGATGTGTTCCAGACCTCTCTCTTTGGCTTGTAGATGGCCATCTGCTCCCTGTGTCTTCTTACATTGTCCTCCTTCTATATCCAAAGCTCCTGTTCTTATAAGGACACCAGTCATATACACTACCCTCACTTTAATAGCCTCACTTTAACTTGATTACCTCTTTAAAGACCCTATCTCCAAATAAAGTCACATTCTACTGTGGGTTAGGACTTCAACATATGAATTTTGGGGGTGACAAGTCAACCTATAATGCTATCGGCTAAAATGCATAGCACCAAACTGTGCCTTATACACAGTAGATGCCAAAAGCAATTTCTTTGGGTTTAATGGATAAACATAACCACTCACATGTATGAAGCACTCACTATGTGCCAGGTACCGGCCTAAGCATTTTACACATATGAATTCATTTAATCCTCATGCTTGTCCAGATGAGGAAATGGAGGCAGAAAAAGATCAAATAACATGCACAGCATCATATAGTAGGTAGCAGAGCTGGTATTCAAACCCAGGCGGTGTGGCACCAGGGCCTGTGTTTTTGTTGTTGTTGTTGTTTTCAGACAGAGTTTCACTCTTTCACCCAGGCTGGAGTGCAGTGGCTCAATCTCGGCTCACTGCAACCTCTGCCTTCCAGTTTCAAGCAATTCTCCTGCCTCAGCCTCCCGAGTAGCTGGGATTACAGGTATCTGCCACCACACCCAGCTAATTTTTGTTTGTTTGTTTGTTTTTTAGTAGAAAGGGGGTTTCACCATGTTGGCCAGGCTGGTCTTGAACTCCTGACCTCGTGATCCGCCCGCCTCGGACTCCCAAAGTGCTGGGATTAGAGGTGTGAGCCACCACGCTCAGCTGGCCCTGTGCTTTTAACTGCCACACTCCATGGCCCCCACTGTTCAGCTGAATGAGGCATTAGGTGGCTTATAACTGGGAATTTTAGGGACCTAAAAACAACCCATTTAAAGAAAAAAGTTTACATTGAAGGGAAATATCATTTCATGGCAACTTAACTGTATCTCCTTGGAGTCATTTAACAGGAATTATGACCAAAGACCCAGCCATCTCCCCAGATAGCATTAGAGCAAACCGGGAGTACTTACGCCTCTTGCTGTAATTAATAACCTCATTATGCTGTGGCAAGGCGAAAAGATCACTGTGAATGAGTCCAGGTTAGTAAATAGTGGTAATGGCCTAGTTATTAAGTTTAATGCCTTAAACATTCAGTCCCATCATGTTCAAGATTCTTAGTTGGCAAGGTCACAAAGAAGAATTAAGAAGAAAAGTTGTTGCTTATGTGCGCAGATAAAAAGACATTAGAAGAAAGTTGCAAAACAGGATACCTGGTCACCAAATATATGCAGAGAGGGAGTGAAACAGAATCTTGGAAGATAGAATCTCTGACTCAAAAGTGGCAAGGACCCAAGGGCTGTCTCGCTGCCCAAATGGAAAGAGAGATACCTGGAGAGAAGTCACACTCAGGCTTGGATGTACAAGTTAGAGGTTCATCTTGTTCAGATGTGGGTGTCTAGAGTTATTTCTCAGTTGTGGTTTATGAATAATTACAGGAGATAACTGCCTGGGTTGCAAGGTAGCCAGCTTCCGTGGGATCAAGCAGAAAGGTGGCCTAGCAAAGTAAAAGGGCATTCTTCTGTTATTTAACTGTCTAAAACCTTCAGCACCATGGAAATGAACACAGAGGTGTCCAAACCACCTTCCCTTCAAGATAGCTTGATAGCCTTTCTGGTAGAATATGAAAGAGCAGCCATTTGGAAGACTCTCATGAAAATTGTAGTGAATTGAATTGTATTCCTCAAAAAGCTATGTCCAAGTCCTAACCTCTGATACCTGTGAATGTGACCTCTTTGGGAACTAGGGTCTTTTCAGATGTAATCCAGTTAAGGATATCAGATGAAATCATCTTAGACTGGTGGGAGTTGCGGGGGAGGCACACTAAATCCACTAACAAGTCCTTAGAAGAGAAGAGACGAGGAAAAGACAGAAAGACACAGGAAAGAAGATCATGGGAAGATGGCAGCAGAGATGGAGTGATGCTGCCACAAGCCAAGAAATGCTGAGAGTCACTAGAAGCTGGAGGAGCCAAGGAAGGTCTCCCCTGGAGCCTTCAGAGGGTGTGCAGCTCTGCTGAAACCTTGATTTGGGAATTTTGGCCTCCAGAACTGGAAGAAAATAAATTTCTGTTGTTTTAAGCCACTAAGTGTATGGTAATTGTGGAACCTAGCAAATTAAAATAATAACTTTGGGAATTGAATGCAATTTCAGTATCATATTCAAAGTCACCAGGGCTCGAAGAAGGTCAATGTGGCCAGGTAAAGCTCCTTTATTCACTTCACCAAAAACATGCGCATAGAAATCTGCACCTAGACTCATTCTCTCTCTCTCTTTCTCTCTCTCTCTCTCTCTCTCTCACACACACACACACAAAATAACAAATTAGTTATTCACCTATATCGCAAAAAACGCTACTATCAGAATTACTTAAATATTCTGCATGAGCTAACCTTTTCACCACAAATTATTTTGACCTCTAAGGCTTTTGGTATGGTATTTTTTTTTTTTTTTTTTTGAGATGGAGTTTCACTCTTGTTGCGCAGGCTGGAGTGCAACGGCGTGATCTCAGCTCACTGCCACCTCCACCTCCCAGGTTCAAGCAATTCTCCTGCCTCAGCCTCCTAAGCAGCTGAGATCACAGGCACCCGCCACCGCGCCCGGCTAATTTTTGTATTTTTAGTAGAGACAGGGTTTCACCATGTTGGCCAGGCTGGTCTCAAACTCCTGACCTCAGGGCGATCCACCCGCCTCAGCTTCCCAAAGTGCTGGGATTACAGGCGTGAGCCACTGTGCCCAGCTGGTGGGATAACATTTTAATACTACACATTAGGCACTGTGGTATGGACAAATGAGTACTCAGAGAGACTACATTCACATGTAAGCTGTTCAATATACTAGCTGATGAGTTTAGTGAAGTTACTGATTTGAATATCAATTTTGATATCTTTAAAACAGAGGTAATGATATCAATAATATCTATCTTTAAATGTTTTTGTGATGATTCAAGACAATGTATATGAAACATCCAGCACAGGGCTGAGACTCAGTAAATAGTTGCCATTATTATTTTCAAATATTCCATTGTCTTAGTAAGCTTAAACTGAAAGCATCCAAACTGGTGTACCCTGAAAAAGAACAACTCCTTCAAGTATTTATAACATATACATTTAAAAAATATATGGAGGTGTGAAATGTAAAGACTTCTGCATATGGCAACAATGAAGTACCAGAGATTACATATACACTCCCATCTTAAACAACAATAAAGCCAGACAAACTGCATTACATATCAGTTTTCAGGAACTAGACAACAGGCATTTCAGGACTATGATTCCTGTAAGAGGGAACAAAATTATCCCTATGTTTATCCTAGCTTACTGCCTAGAGGCAGTTTCCAGGCAGCAGAACAGCATGGGAGAAGGCAGAGTTCATCAGTTTCACTGAGTTAAGGATACAAAGATTGAAGTTCAGGGTAGCCATGGCAGCTAAAATTTGCAGGACAGAGTATAGGAAAAGATGAATCTGCAGAGAAAAAATAAAACAAACAAACAAACAAACAAACAAAAAACCTCACAAACTCCAGGGAGATCTATGTCTTTCGCTGAGTAACTAATTTGAGCATACATGAAAGGAAAGTAATCAAGGCCAGGAAAAAGCCATTAGGAAACAATCTCCAGAATCCACAGAGCTGGGAAGAACCCATGTGCTCACCAGCTAGAGGGTAAAGACCTTGTCAAATGGGTAGGTTACTCAAAATTTCATAGTGGGACTGAATTATCCCTGGCCAACAGCATGCTCTGGATCTAGGACGACCAGTTTGTCCCGGTTTGCCTTGGGCTTTCTCAGCTTTAAAACTAAAAGTCCCATTTCTCAGAAACTCTTCAATCCCAGTTTTACAGTGAAAGTCCCATGTCTTGGAAAACTCCTTAATCCCAGGCAAACTAGAATAATCAATCACTCCATGTAGATCTGTCCCAAGAAAAGCTTAAAACCAAGTCTTGAATGGATCAAGTTTATTACAAGTAACTTAACTGCATCTCAGAAAAAACTAAACCACTGTTTAAAGGAATCTAACAAAACCCAGCACCCAACACATCACATTCACAATGTAAAAGTAGTGACATTCAATCACAAATTACGAGGAATGCAAAGAAGCAGAAGAATATGACCCACAACAAGGAGAAATCAACGAATAGAAACAGACGTGGAAATGGAGAGATGATGGGAAGAGCAGAAATGGAAGTTAAAACAACTGTTATAAAGAGGTTCTCAAGAATGTAGATGGAAACAATACAATGGGAGAGAAAGAAACATATTTTAAAAATTAAAAATGAAACTTGTAGAGATAAAAATTATAATATCTGAAATAGAAAATGCACCGCTAGGCTTAACAACAGATTAGACACTTGTATCAGTCTGTTCTACACTGCTATCAACTACCTGAGCCTAGGTAGTCTATAAAGAAAAGAGATTTAATCAGCTCACAGTTGTGTGGGCTGAACAGACTTCTGCTTCTGGGGAGGTGTCAAGAAACTTACAATCATGGTGGAAGGCCAAGGGGGAAGCAAGCACTATCCTCATATGGCAGAGAAGCAGGAGAGAGAGAGAGCAAAGGGGGAAGTGCTACACACTTTTAATCAACCAGATTTTGTGAGAACTCTATAATGAGGACAGCAAGGCGGATGGTGCTAAATCATTAGAAACCACCCCCATGATCCAGGCACCTTTTGCCAGGCCCCACCTCCAACAGCGGGGATTACAATTCAACATGAGATTTAGGTGGGGCACAGAGCCAAACCATATCATGCTGCTGAAAAAAATGCTAGTGAACTTGAAGAGAAAACAATAAAAACAACCCAAAATGAAGCACAGAGACAAAAATACACACAAAAAAAAGCAAAGAAAGAAAAAGAGAGCAGAACCTCAGTGAGTTATGGGATAATATTAAATAGTCTAATATATGAGTAATTAAAGTCTCAGTAAGAGAAGAGGTAGGGACAGAAAATTTAAAACAAAATGGCCAAAGTTTTTCTACATTTAATGAAAACTGGACCTAACAAGTTCAATGAATCATAAGCAGAAGAAACAAAGAAAATAAACAGCAGGACATAGAATAACCAACTTATTAAAAACCAGTGGTGAAGAGAAAATCTTCAAAGCAGCCAAAGGGGGGAAAATACATTTTATATAAAGAGAAACAAAGATAAGAATGATAAACAGCTTCTTGTGAGAAAATAGAAAACCAGAAGATAGTAGTAAATCTTCCTTAAAGAGCTAAAAGAAAAAGAAAACCAGGCTGGGCGCGGTGGCTCACGCCTGTAATCCCAGCACTTTGGGAGGCCGAGGCGGGTGGATCACAAGGTCAGGAGATCAAGACCATCCTGGCAAACACGGTGAAACCCTGTCTCTACTAAAAAATACAAAAAAATTAGCCAGGCGTGGTGGCGGGTGTCTGTAGTTCCAGCTACTCGGGAGGCTGAGACAGGAGAATCGCATGAACCCGGGAGGCAGAGCTTGCAGTGAGCAGCAATCGCGCCACTGCACTCCAGCCTGGGCAACAGAGTGAGACTCTGTCTCAGAAAAAAAAAAAAAAGAAAAAGAAAAAGGAAAAGAAAAAGAAAACCAACCAAAAAACAACTGTCGGTATGGAATATTATACCCAGTAAAATTATCTTTTAAAAGTGAAGGCATAGGCCAGGCACAGTGGCTCATGTTTGTAATCCCAGCACTTTGGGAGGCCAAGACGGGTGGATAACCTGAGGTCAGGAGTTCAAGACGAGCCTGGCCAACGTGGCAAAACCTCGTCTCTACTAAAAAGACAAAAAATCAACAAGGTGTGGTGGCACGCACCTGTAATCCCAGCCACTTGGGATGCTGAGGCACAAGAATCACTTGAACATGGGATGCGGAGGTTGCAATGAGCAGAGACTGCACCACTGCACTTCGGCCTGGACAGCAGGGCAAGGCTTTGTCTCAAAAAAAAAAAAAAAAAAGTGAAGGCACAATAAAGACTTTTCCAGACAAAGAAAAATTGAATTTATTATAAGTCCAAAATGTGTTAAAGGAAGCTCTTCAGACAGAAGGACAATGATACCAGATGGAAATTTGTACCAATACAAAATGAAGAGTTCTAGATATGGTAAATATGTGGATAAATACAAAACCCTTATTTTTCAGTTTAAAAATATCCTATAAAAGATTATTAACTGTTTAAAGCAAAACATTGCAGGCATCATGGGAGTTTATAACCTGTAGAAGTAAAATGAACAACAACAAGGACACAAAGAAAGGGAATGAGAAATGGAAATATACTGCTGAAAGGTTCTCACAGTATATGTGAAGTGGAATAACACTATTTGAAGGTAAATGATGATGAGGTAAGGATGTACATTTTAAACCATAGAACAGTGCCTTGAAAAGGAAATATAGATAAAATAAATAAAGTATACAAATTTTAAGTTTATAGCTTGATGAATTTTCATTTATTTATGCTGTGTAATCAATCCTCAGATCAAGATATAGATCATTTCTAGAACCCCTGAATCCTCCCTCATCCTCATTCCAGCTGATCTCACCCCCACACCATGATGCTACCATTTTAATGTCTTCTATCTCATAGATTAGTTTTACATGTTCGTGAACTTGCTATAAATGAAATCTCACAGTACATGCACTTTGGTATTTGCCTTCTTTCATATCTGTGATTCATCCATGCTGCTGTGGTTAGCAGCAGTCATTCTTTTTTAATTTCTGTGTAGTATTTCATTGTCTGAATATTCAATAATGTGTTTATCCATTCTGCTGATGGTAGACACTTTAACTATTTCTATTCATCAGCTACTAAGAAAAGAGCTGCTATGCACCTTCTTATACATCTCTTTTGGTGGACATATACATTCATTTTCCTGGGTTATATACCTAGAAGTGGAATTGCTGGGTCAGAGGATAGGCATACAGGATTTAGAAGATACAGATGGAGAATTTTCCTCAGTGGTTTTGCCAATTTACATACCGTTAGCAATATGAGAATTACAGTTGCTCTGTGTCTTTTTCAACACTTAGTATTGTCAAAGTTTTTAATTTTAGCCATTCTTCAGGTGGGTTGTGTAGTAATAGTACATTGTAGTTTTAGTTTACATTTCTCTGATGATTAATGATACTGACCACTTTTTCATGTGCTAATTAACAATTTAGGTAATTTCATTTGGTGAAGTGCCTGTTCAAGTTTTTTGTTCACATTTGTATTCTTGTTTGCATTTATCTTATTAATTTATAAAGGTATCTCAAAATATATTGTAGATATGAGTTCTTTGCTGGATATATTCATTTGGAAATTTCTTCTTCCATTCTGTGGCTTGTCTCTTAACTTTCTTAGTTTTTTAACGAAGAATATATTTATGCACACACATATGTATATATGAAGTACAATTTAGTATTTTTTTTACAGTTAGTGTATCTATTGTCTTTAGCTTAAAAAATGTTTGCCTATCCCAAGGTCATGTAGGCACTCTCAGTGTTTCCTGCTAGAAGCTTCTCTGTTGAGTATTTCACATTTACGTCTGTAATCCACCTAGAATTTTTAAATATATACTATGTGAGGTAGGACCGAAGGTTCAATTTTTTTCATATGGTTATTCATATACTTTGGTACCATTTATTGAAATGAGCACTCTTTCTCAATAGAATTGCATTGGTACCTTTGCCAACCACCAAGTCACTTCATAGGTGGCAGTCTATTTCTAAATTCTCTATTTTATTCTATTTATCAATTTGTCTATCCTGTTTCAAGTTGTCACAATTAATGTAGCTTTACAGTGAGTCATGACATCAGATAGTATAATATTCTAAGACAGAAGTGACCCAAACAAGCCCCAGTGATGACAGGAGCAAAGGCAAGATAGGATGACCATCCTCTGTCTCCTTAACCTACTGATCAGAAAAAAAGTTGTCTTATTTGCTCACTGCAAAATACACATGGACACTGGTCAATCATATGACCTCAAAGGCTCTGTCCTGAATAAACTGATTAGATGTTTCCCTAGCAATATGATTGACTAGACAGAATGTGTTCTACTATTCCTTGCTTTGCAACCAACCCACCATTGCAGCCAGACCTCTCAAAGACCTCCTCAACGAAACCCTCACTTATCTTAAAGGTTAAAAAAAAAGTTTTATTAATTAAAAACAAAAAAATCCACAATTCTTAACAGCTTGTTAGTATGGTCAGCTGGTTGAGAGGGTAATAAATGGAGGAGAAAGCACATCTATTCTTTTAGATCATCACCTATACTGAGGACCGGCACTTATGGCAACTCACTATTGACATGCTCACACACCTCTAAAGGTTTCTCTTTGCTTTATAACGAACTTTCACACTTCAGCATATTTCTAAACATTCTTTAACATTTTAACTTCTTTTCCACCTTGTTGAAAGCTTGAGCCCACTCTCTCATTTGTATTATTTTTTGCGCATTTGTTGCTAGCCAGTGCATTTTTAAAAATTTCTTTCCCGGGCCGGTTCCAAGATGGCTGAATAGGAACAGCTCCAGTCTACAGCTCCCAGCATGAACAACGCAGAAGATGGGTGATTTCTGCATTTCCAACTGAGGTACCAGGTTCATCTCACTGGGGTGTGTCGGACAGTGGGGGCAGGACAGTCGGTGCAGCCCACCGAGCGAGAGCCAAAGCAGGGCGAGGCATCGCCTCACCCGGGAAGCGCAAGGGGTAAGGGAATTCCCTTTCCTAGCCAAGGGAAGCCATGACAGACACCACCTGGAAAATTGGGTAACTCCCACCCTAATACTGTGCTTTTCCGAGGGTCTTAGCAAACAGTACACCAGGAGATTATATCCTGCGCCTGGCTCAGAGGATCCCACGCCCACGGAGCCTCGCTCATTGCCAGCTCGGCAGTCTGAGATCTAACTGCAAGGCAGCAGTGAGGCTGGGGGAGGGGCATCCGCCATTGCTAAGGCTTGAGTAGGTAAACAAAGCAGCCAGGAAGCTCAAACTGGGAAGCCCACCGCAGCTCAAGGAGGCCTGCCTACCTCTGTAGACTCCACCTCTGGGGGCAGGGCATAGCCGAACAAAAGGCAGCAGAAACCTCTGCAGTCTTAAATGTCCCTGTCTGACAGCTTTGAAGAGAGTAGTGGTTCTCCCAGCATGGAGTTTGAGATCTGAGAACAGACAGACTGCCTCCTCAAGTGGGTCCCTGACCCCCGAGTAGCCTAACTGGGAGGCACCCCCAAGTAGGGGCAGACTGACACCTCACACGGCCAGGTACCCCTCTGAGACAAAGCTTCCAGAGGAACAATCAGGCAGCAACCTTTGCTGTTCAGCAATATTCGCTGTTCTGCAGCCTCTGCTGCTGATACCCAGGCAAACAAGGTCTGGAGTGGACCTCCAGCAAACTCCAACAGACCTGCAGCTGAGGGTTCTGACTGTTAGAAGGAAAACTAACAAACAGAAAGGACATCCACAACACAACCCCATTTGTACGTCACCATCATCAAAGACCAAAGGTAGATAAAACCACAAAGATGGGGAAAAAACAGAGCAGAAAAGCTGAAAATTCTAGAAATCAGAGCGCCTCTTCTCCTCCAAAGGAACGCAGCTTCTCACCAGCAATGGAACAAAGCTGGATGGAGAATGACTTTGACGAGTTGAGTGAAGAAGGCTTCAGACGATCAAACTTCTCTGAGCTAAAGGAGGAAGTTCAAACCCATCGCAAAGAAGCTAAAACCTTGAAAAAAGATTAGACAAATGGCTAACTAGAATAACCAGTGTAGAGAAGTCCTTAAATGACCTGATGGAGCTGAAAACCATGGCACGAGAACTACGTGACGAATGCACTAGCTTCAGTAACCAATTTGATCAACTGGAAGAAAGGGTATCATTGATTAAAGATCAAATGAATGAAATGAAGTGAGAAGAGAAGTTTAGAGAAAAAAAGAGTAAAAAGAAACGAACAAAGCCTCCAAGAAATATGGGACTATGTGAAAAAACCAAATCTACGTCTGACTGGTGTACCTGAAAGTGACTGAGAGAATGGAACCAAGGTGGAAAACACTCTGCAGGATATTATCCAGGAGAACTTCCCAAACCTAGCAAGGCAGGCCAACATTCAAATTCAGGAAATACAGAGAACACCACAAAGATACTCCTCGAGAAGAGCAACTCCAAGACACATAATTGTCAGATTCACCAAAGTTGAAATGAAGGAAAAAATGTCAAGGGCAGCCAGAGAGAAAGGTCGGGTTACCCACAAAGGGAAGCCCATCAGACTAACAGTGGATCTCTTGGCAGAAACTCTACAAGCCAGAAGAGAGTGAGGGCCAATATTCAACATTCTTAAAGAAAAGAATTTTCAACCCAGATTTTCATATCCAGCCAAACTAAGCTTCATAAGTGAAGGAGAAATAAAATACTTTACAGACAAGCAAATGCTGAGAGATTTTGTCACCATCAGGCCTGCCCTACAAGAGCTCCTGAAGGAAGCACTAAACATGGAAAGGAACAACCGGTACATCTGGCATGAAAAAACATGCCAAAATGTAAAGACCATCGATGCTAGGAAGAAACTGGATCAACTAACGAGCAAAATAACCAGCTAACATCATAATGACAGGATCAAATTCACACATAACAATATTAACCTTAAATGTAAATGGACTAAATGCTCCAATTAAAAGACACAGACTGGCAAATTGGATAAAGAGTCAAGACCCATCAGTGTGCTGTATTCAGTAGACCCATCTCACGTGCAGAGACACACATAGACTCAAAATAAAGGGATGGAGGACGACCTACCAAGCAAATGGAAAACAAAAAAAGGCAGGGGTTGCAATCCTAGTCTCTGATAAAACAGACTTTAAACCGGCAAAGATCAAAAGAGACAAAGAAGACCATTACATAATGGTAAAGGGATCAATTCAACAAGAAGAGCTAACTATCCTAAATATATATGCGCCCAACACAGGAGCACCCAGATTCATACAGCAAGTCCTTAGAGACTTAACAAAGAGACTTAGACTCCCACACAATAATAATGGAAGACTTTAACACCCCACTGTCAACATCAGACAGATCAACGAGACAAAGTTAACAAGGATATCCAGGAATTGAACTCAGCTCTGCACCAAGTGGACGTAATAGACATCTACAGAACACTCCACCCCAAATCAACAGAATATACAGTCTTCTCAGCATCACATCACACTTATTCCAAAATTGACCACATAGTTGGAAGTAAAGCACTCCTCAGCAAATGTAAAAGAACAGAAATTATAACAAACTGTCTCTCAGACCACAGTGCAATCAAACTAGAACTCAGGATTAAGAAACTCACTCAAAACCGCTCAACTACATGGAAACTGAACAACCTGCTCCTGAATGACATGATCAAGTGGGCTTCATCCCTGGTTGCAAGGCTGGTTCAACATATGCAAATCAATAAACGTAATCCAGCATATAAACAGAACCAAAGACAAAAACCACATGATTATCTCAATAGATGCAGAAAAGGCCTTTGACAAAATTCAACAGCCCTTCATGCTAAAAACTCTCAATAAATTAGGTATTGATGGGATGTATCTCAAAATAATAAGAGCTATTTATGACAAACCCACAGCCAATATCATACTGAATGGACAAAAACTGGAAGCATTCCCCTTGAAAACTGGCATAAGCCAGGGATGCCCTCTCTCACCACTCCTATTCAACACAGTGTTGGAAGTTCTGGCCAGGGCAATCAGGCAGGAGAAAGAAATAAAGGGCATTCAATTAGGAAAAGAGGAAGTCAAATTGTCCCTGTTTGCAGATGACATGATTGTATATTTAGAAAACCCCATCGTCTCAGCCCAAAATCTCCTTAAGCTGATAAGCAATTCAGCAGTCTCAGGATACAAAATCAATATGCAAAAATCACAAGCATTCTTATACACCAATAACAGACAAACAGAGGGCCAAATCATGAGTAAACTCCCATTCACAATTGCTTCAAAGAGAATAAAATACCTAGGAATCCAACTTACAAGGGATGTGAAGGATCTCTTCAAGGAGAACTACAAACCACTGCTCAACGAAATAAAGGAGGACACAAACAAATGGAAGAACATTCCATGCTCATGGATAGGAAGAATCAATATTGTGAAAATGGCCATACTGCCCAAGGCAATTTATGGATTCAATGCCATCCCCATTAAGCTACCAATGACTTTCTTCACAGAACTGGAAATAACTACTTTAAAGTTCATATGGAACCAAAAAAGAGCCCACACTGCCAAGACAATCCTAAGCGAAAGAACAAAACTGGAGGCATCACGCTACCTGACTTTAAACTATACTACAAGGCTACAGTAACCAAAACAGCATGGTACTGGTACCAAAACAGAGATATAGACCAATGGAACAGAACAGAGCCCTCAGAAATAATACCACACATCTACAACCATCTGATCTTTGACAAACCTGACAAAAACAAGAAATGGGGAAAGGATTCCCTATTTAATAAATGGTGCTGGGAAAACTGGCTAGCCATATGTAGAAAGCTGAAACTGGATCCCTTCCTTACACCTCATACAAAAATTAATTCAAGATGGATTAAAGACTTAAATGTTAGACCTAAAACCATAAAAACCCTAGAAGAAAACCTAGGCAATACCATTCAGGACATAGGCATGGGCAAGGACTTCATGTCTAAAACACCAAAAGCAATGGCAACAAAAGCCAACATTGACAAATGGGATCTAATTAAACTAAAGAGCTTCTGCACAGCAAAAGAAACTACCACTAGAGTGAATAGGCAACCTACAGAATGGGAGAAAATTTTTGCAATCTACTTATCTGACAAAGGGCTAATATCCAGAATCTACAAAGTACTCAAACAAATTTACAAGAAAAAACCAAACAAGGCGATCAAAAAGTGGGCGAAGGATATGAACAAACACTTCTCAAAAGAAGACATTTATGCAGCCAACAGACACATGAAAAAATGCTCACCATCACTGGACGTCAGAGAAATGCAAATCAAAACCACAATGAGATACCATCTCATACCAGTTAGAATGGCGATCATTAAAAAGTCAGGAAACAACAGGTGCTGGAGAGGATGTGGAGAAATAGGAACACTTTTACATTGTTGGTGGGACTGTAAACTAGTTCAACCATTGTGGAAGACAGTGTGGCGATTCCTCAAGGATCTAGAATTAGAAATACCGTTTGACCCAGCCATCCCATTACTGGGTATATACCCAAAGGACTATAAATCATGCTGCTATAAAGACACATGCACACGTATGTTTATTGCGGCACTATTCACAATAGCAAAGACTTGGAACCAACCCAAATGTCCATCAATGATAGACTGGATTAAGAAAATGTGGCACATATACACCATGGAATACTATGCAGCCATAAAAAAGGATGAGTTCGTGTCCTTTGTAGGGACATCGATGAAGCTGGAAACCATCATTCTCAGCAAACTATCACAAGGACAGAAAACCAAACACCGCATGTTCTCACTCATAGGTGGGAATTGAACAATGAGAACACTTGGACACAGGAAGGGGAACATCACACATAGGGGCCTGTTGTGGGGCCGGGGGAGGGGGAGGGATAGCATTAAGAGATATACCTAATGTAAATGATGAATTAATGGGTGCAGCACACCAACATGGCACATGTATACATAGGTAACAAACCTGCACGTTTTGCACATGTACCCTAGAACTTAAAGTATAATAAAAAAAACTTTTTTCCCTTATTTTTAACAGAAAAAAAGACCCCATGCCATAATATATTGCTTTAGTAAATGAAGATGGCTGCATGTAATTCTGATTGTTTTAGGGGGGAAAATAGCCATGTTATACATTTGTAGGAGATTATGTCTAGACATCATTAAGGACAAATAGGTTTTAATTCTTTGGTCTCTAGATGAGGGCTATATATAGGCACAGACAGAGCTCTTGGTATTTTGCTACTCTTGCTAAACTAGCTGTGAGAGGTTTTCAACACTGATCTCAATGATAACTGAACGTACTGGACTATCTGAGCTTTTCTGTTTGTGTATAACTCTTTAAATATGTACTTGGAGGAACGAATAAATGGTGGAAAAGGGATTGGCCTTGAAGTCTGGAGATCAGAGATCTAAATCTTGAATTTGACACTGACCCAGTGTATGGCCTTAAGCAAACCCCTCACTTCCTCTCTGCTCTTAACTCTCTTCATCTTTCAATTAAAGAGCTATAATTAATTGAATCAATTATGTCCATGGTCTATTTAACTGTTATATGTTCATCTTTTTCTCAACCAATGTCCCCTAACTGTCATCAAAGAAATCATCTATTATCATGGCATACTTTATAAGAAAGAAATGCCAGCCAAGTAGGAATATTTTTTATAAGAAAGCTGTTCATTGTTTTATACCCAGCTCCTGGCACACAGTAGGTATTCAAAAATACTTATCACCAAAATTTTTTATATTTTACAGATGAATGGATACCCTCACACATTAAGCAACTTGCCTTCTGAAACTGCATTGCCAGGGCCTCCAGACTGTGACAAGGAGGATGTTTTCAGGCAGAGAGCAGGGGAAAGGCTCAACCTAAGTTTCCAGGAACAAAAGCACAGGTGAGAATAGGGCTATGGGGCCAATGGAATGGTGAGGTGTCGTTTGTAGCTGGGACATGGAGTATATGGAAGCACATAATAGAAGGCAAAGGTTGCTGGGAGACCAGTTCATGAAGATTTTGAGTGCCCTGTGAAGGAACGTGAATATCATTCTACAGCATATTAGTCTTCTATTGCTGCCATAAAAGTTATCACAAATTTAATGCCTTCAAACAACACAAACTTATTATCTCACTGCTATATAGGTCAGAAGTCCAGGTTAGCTTGGTTGGTTTCTCTGTTCTGTGTTGCACATGGCCCAAATCAAGGTGTTGGCCAGCTGGGCTCTTATTGCAAGGCTCTGGGAGGAAGCCACTTCCAGATTCCTCCAGGTTACTGGCAGAAGTCAGTTATCTGCAATTATAGAACTGAGGTCCTCGTTTCCTGGGAGAGACTCTCAGCTGCTTAGGGCTGTATGTTTTCCTTATGACGTTGTACTCCCATCTTCAAACTAGTAATGGCACACTGAGTACTTTTCACTTTTCAAATTTTTATTGACTTCTTGTCTGCCACATCTCCATCTCCAGTATGAGAAAGTTCTCTGCTTTTAAGGACTTGTGTGGTTTGATGGGGTCTAGTTGGATACTGTAGAATCCTCTCCTGTCTTAAGGTCCATAACTGTAATCACATCTGCTAAGTTCCTTTTGAATAACATTTTCATAGGTTCCAGGGACTAGGGCATAGACACTGTAGCGGGCTACTAGGAAACACTAAGGGTTGCAGAGGAGGGGAGTAACTCAATTCCTAACGACAAATATTTATGCAGCACATTCGAAGTTCCAGGCTCTGTTATAGGTGCTAGATATAATTGGAATCATCCATTAAGAAAATCTCTTTGGGCCAGGCGCGGTGGCTCATGCCTGTAATCACAGCACTTTGGGAGGCCGAGGCGGGCAGATCACAAGGTCAGGAGATCGAGACCATACTGGCTAACATGGTGAAACCTCGTCTCTACTAAAAATACAAAAAAATTAGCCGGGCGTGGTGGCGGGTGCCTGTAGTCTCAGCTACTCGGGAGGCTGAGGCAGGAGAATGGCGTGAACCTGCGAGGCGGAGCTTGCAGTGAGCCGAGATCGCGTCACTGCACTCCAGCCTGGGTGACAGAGTGAGACTCCGTCTCAATAAATAAATAAATAAATAAGTTCCTCGGTATGGTTTTGTGTTTTTTCTTCTTATTTCATGTTCGTTGAGCTTCTTGGGTTTAAAATTTCCATTAAGTTTGGAAACATTTTTTCATTAAATGTTTTTCATTAAATGTCTAAAAAAAAAAAAAAGAAAGAAAGAAAATCTCTCTGACATTCTCCTAGGTCAGAAGGAGATACAGGTTGAACATTCCTTATCTGAAATGCTTGGGACCAGAAGTGTTTTGCATTTTGGATTTGTTTTCAGATTTTGAAATATTTGCAGTATATATACTTACCAGTTGAGCATCTCTAATCCCAAAATCCAAAATCTGAAATGCTCCAGTGAGCATTTCCTTTGAGCATCATATCACTAAAAATTTTGGATTTTGGCCGGGCACAGCAGCTCACACTGATTTAATCCCAGTATCTTGGGAGGCCAAGGTGGGAGAATCACTTGAAGCCAGGAGTTTAAGACGAGCCTGTGTAACAAGGTAAGACCCTTATATCTTTTTAAAAAATTAGCCAGGCATGGTGGTGTGCACCTGTAGACCCAGTTACCAGCGGGGGGCGGGGGTGCTCAGGCAGGAGGATGCTTGAGCTTTGAGTTCAAGGCTGCAGTGAGCTATAACTGCACCACTGCACTCCGGCCTGGGAGACAGAGCGAGACTCTATGTCAAAAAAAAAAAAAGTTTTGGGTTTTGGAGTATTCTGGATTTTGGATTTTCGGACTTGGGATGCTTAACCTGTAAGCACCTGTTTGTAATTAAACTCGTGTCCAGTTTCAGGAACACGCCCACACACCCACACACACGCATGCATGCGTGCACGCACACAGGAATAGAGATGGAATGCATTCAATTTCCTGTAGGGTCTTTGGCTGCATTTTCACCGGCACTGGCACCTGACAAGAAGGTAATGCCAAGCAGATAATATTACTGAAAGCACGGGGTATTCATGTCTAGTTACTAATAATTGCATTTGCGATGATAATCATGTTGATGACAGAATGGAAAATGGTGATTGTAATCATCATCATAATACTAAGCTGAAGCATGTTATTAGGCCAACAGGTCAATAGGAAAGAAGCAGAAATCGAGACATGGACGTGGATGACTGACTGGAATGTACACAAGAAACCAAGAATGTGTGGGAATGTGAAGGTAGCAGCTGTCAGCTTTGACCTTGAAGCCTGACTGAGGGAGGATTGTGACACAACGAGATGTTGTCCAGAGTTCCTGAGAAAGGCAAGATGCTGGCAGATAGATTTGTCTGGAATCCCAGGGTGACTGATAAGATACTGGGAATTCCTGTCAGTTGGTGAAGAAGTATCTGGTCCAGACTGTACCCTTAAACCCAACCCTTAGGCGTGTTCCCCTGCCCATGGCCTTGGGCACTTGCATATTTTGCAGGAGAAACAGAGAGAGAAAAAGAGACAGAGAGGAGACAGAGACACACAGGTACTAAGTTCACAGGAAAAAGTCAGCACTCTCAGCACCTCTCCTAATGCTAGAACAACTTCAGACCCCGTGGTCTGTTCCATAAGGTTTTTCTTACTGCATCTCATAAAGAGAAGCAGTTAGTCTACTGGTCAGGAATCACAATGCCACATTTGCTAGTGGGCAGGGTCATGGCCGGGGGTGATTCTGGCCTCCACATTCTGCCTCTCTGTAGCTACGTGTCTGTTGATCTGGGTGGTCATTGTGTTAACTTCCTCTTTCCTGCTTTTTAAGTCCTGAAAGATACTATCTTTAAGCATTCATCTTTCTCTCTGCAACTCTGACTTCCAATCTATGAGTTGGCAGCCATAAACTCTAATTCCCGGGAGCTTCTTCTGATTCCCAGGAGGCCCGGATGTCCTGCTATTTTTTCATAGTTGTCATTGTGAGGCCTTGTGACTTTTGAGTAAGAACAGCCACATATCTAGTTAGTAACATCCGCAGATGAGGTTTGGCTTCAAGGGAGGGTAAGAGGTTGCACTGCTTAGTTCTAAAGCCTAAACTGAGGGATTCAGCCCAGATTTAGCAGAGGAACTAAGGGTAGCGAACCTGGGGCAGCTAACGCTGGACTGTAATTTCAGTGGTGATTTGCCGTTCCTCCTTTGGTTGTCAGCCATCTTAGGAACCTATAATGAGGGGTGTAGCAGGGGTGGTGCTGGTGATTGTCAAGGAAGGATTAGGGCATTCCTGAGCCCTCTTGCAAATTATCATCAAAATTCTACCCTAATTCCTAGCAGACTGATATGTTTACTCTTGGGAATGAAACTGTATCATTAAATTCCTTTAAAAAACATCAGCAGTCTGCATGTATTATGATCTTCCTCACTTCCTAAATTCTTTCATAGCCAAAGACACTCATTCAAAAAGGATAAACAATAGCAGTGATAATAAAAAGGAAACACAAACCCTACATGACTTACAAGGTCTCACATGATTTACTCTGATGCCTCCCCCCATCCCCCTAGTTCCGACTTGCTCAGCCATTGCCACACTGTCAAACACACCAAGCAAGCTCCAGCCTCCTGTCCCCACCACCAAAGGGCTTCCCTGAGCCAGCAGCATGGCTGCCTTCCTCAGGCCATTCAGAGTCCCTCTCAGTGGCGCCCCCAGCTGCATCCTCCCTGCAAAGCACCCTGCTGGGTTCCACAGCCAATTTCCTTGCTTATTCTTCCCTAAAGCACTCATCCCTACGTGACATAAAGATTTACGTCCATCTCAATTAACTATTCAATGGTCTACCTCTCTCACTCAAGTAGAAGCTCTGCAGGGCAGAGATTTTATCTGCTTTGTTCACCACTCTATCTCAGCTCCTAAAACAGTGCCTGTGCTCCGTCAATATCACTCAATGAACCAATGCCCATTTTGCAGATGTCAAAGATAAGACTTAAGGAAGCACAGAGACTGTTCCCCAAGTTCCACCCTGGAAATTATGTCAGCTGGGACCCATACCCAGGCCAACATGCTTCACAAGTGTGATTTTCTGGTGGGCAGGAGGTGACATCAAGTGCATGCCAGTTATTTGAGGTGACTCCCGTTGGAGTGTGCAGAGTTGGGCCAGCTCGGACTCAGTTTGTGGCCTACAGTCGCCCTTGTCTTTCACCTTCCCGGTCTTGTGCACACCAGTTTGCAGCATCTGTCAGCGAAGCCCATGGGCCCCCTCCCCTCCTCCATTCGGCCTCTTCTGACTGCTCCACCGATGGCAGACACTTGGCAGGTGGCCTGAGGCCTGCAGTCAGCAAGAACTGCTTCCTG